>NC_000023.11:145990757-146293787 GCF_000001405.40 Homo sapiens | reverse complement strand
ACCCATCTGATAAGGGATTAATAACCAGAACATATGAGGAGCTCAAACAACTTTATGGGAAAAAATATAATAATCTGATCCAAAAATGGGCAAAAGGTGTGAAAAGAAATGTCTTAGAAGAAGACATACAAATGGCAAACAGGCATATAAAAACATGTGCAACATCACTGATCATAACAGAAATGTAAATCAAAACTGCAATGAGATATCATCTCACCCCAGTTAAAATGGCTTCTATCCAGGAGACATGAAATAACAAATGCTGGTGAAGATGTGGAGAAAAGGAAAGCATCATACACTGCTGTTGGGGATATAAATAAGTAAAATCTATGGAAAGCAGTTTGGATGATCCTCAAAAGAACTAAAAATACAGCTACCAGAGGATCCAGCAATCCCACTGCTGAATATATACCCCAAAACAGGACATCATTATATCAAAGAGATATCTGCACTCTCATGCTCCTTGCAGCACTGTTTAAAATAACTAAGATTTGGAAGCAACCTAAATGTCCATCAAGAGATGAATGGGGGAGGGGCCAAGATGGCTGAATAGAAACAGCTGCAGTCAGAGGCTTCCATTGAAAAGAGTGAAAAAGCCAGTGAATCCTGTACTGCAAACTGAGGTATCCAGGTTCTCTCATTGGGACTGACTGGGTGGCTGGTGAGACCCATGGAGAGTGAAGAATAGCAGGGTGATGTGATGGCCCACCTGGGAGACACATGGAGCAAGGGGAACTCCCACCTCCAGCCAAAAGAGGTGGTGAGTTATTGTGCTACCCTGCCGGGGAAACCATGCTATTTCCACTGATTTGTGCAACCCATGGATCAGGAGATTCCTCCTGTAAGCCCACACCACCAGGGTATTGGGTCCCAAGAACAGAGTTACACAGATTCACAGAGGCCACTTGGTTAGAGACTGCCTAAGTCAATGATGTTACCCGGGGGAGGGGAGGCCAAAATCACTGCAGCTGCCTGCTGCCTAAGATGACCAAGCTCCCAGCGAAGGGGGAGGCAGCCATCACTGAAGCTCCAGTCTGCCAATTTTCCCCCGTTGGTGCCAGGGAAACTAGACAGTTTGAATCCAGGAAAAATTCCCCACAGCACAGCACAGTGGCTGTGGCAGATTGTGGCCAGACTGCCTCTTTAGGCTGGACCCTGACCCATCCTTCCTCACTGGGTGGGACCTCCATGTAAAAATTTTAGCAACTCCAGCCAGGAATTTAGAAACAGAACTCTGATCTCCCTGTGACTGAGTCCCTGGGGTCAGGGGTGGCGATGTCTCTGTGGATCAGCAGACTTAGTCTTTCCCCCTGCTGGCTCTGAGGAATCCAGGCAGCTTGGACCAGTGGGATTTTCCCCAGTGCAGCACACCACCTCAACCAAGGGGCAGCCAGAGTGCTTCCTTAAGTGGGTCCCAGATCTCTTGCCTCCTGACTGGGTAAGAACCCCCAACAGGGGTCATCACCAGATACCTTTTACAGGAGTGTTCATGCCAGCATCAGGTCGGTGCCCCTCTGGGAAAGAGATCCCAGAAGAAGGAGCATTCAGCCATCTTTGCAGCTCTGCAGCCTCCACTGGTGACACCTCCAGGTGTGGAAGAGACCAGGCAAATAGGATCTGAAGTGGACCACCAGAAAATCACAGCAGTCCAACACAAAAGGGGCCGGTTAAAAAAACAAACAAACAGAAAGCAACAACAGCAGCATCAACACAAAAGTCCCCACAAAAACTCCATCCAAAGGCCAGCAGCCTCCAAGATCAAAGATAGACAAACTTGCAAAGATGAGAAAGAATCAACAACAACAACAACAACAAACAGTGAAAACTCAAGAAGCCAAAGTGCTTCTTCTGAAAATTATAGCAACACCTATCCAGCAAGGGCACAGAACTGAGCAGAGGCCGAGATGGATGAATTGGCAGAAGTAGGCTTTAGAAGGTGGGTAACAACAAATTTTGCTGAGCTAAAAGAGCATGTTCTAACCCAATGCAAAGAAGCTAAGAACCATGATAAAACATTACAGGAGCTGTTAACCAGAATGACCAGTTTAGAAAGGAACATGAATGACCAAAACACAACACGAGAACTTCACAATGCAACTACGAGTATCAATAACTGAATAGACCAAGCAGAGAGAAAAATTTCAAAGCTTGAAGACTATCTTGCTGAAATAACACCGGCAGACAAGATTAGAGAAAAAAGAATAAAAAGGGATGAACAAAAACTCTGAGAACTATGGGTTATGTAAAAAGACCAAACCTATGACTAATTGAGGTACCTGAAGGAGACAGGGAGAATGGAACCAAGCTGAAAAACACACTTCAGGATATCATCCAGTAGAACTTTCCTAACAAAGCAAGACAGGCCAACATTCAAATCCAGGAAATTCATAGAAGCCCAGTAAGATACTCCATGAGAAGATCAACCCCAAGACACATAATCATCAGATTTTCCAAGGTCAAAATGAAGGAAAAAATGTTAAGAACAGCCAGAGAGAAAGGCCAGGTCACCGACAAAGGGAAGCCCATCAGACTAACAGAGCAGAACCCTACAAGCCAGAAGAAATTGGGGGCCAATATCCAACATTCTTTAAAAAAAAAGAAGAATTTTCAACCCAGAATTTTATATCCAGCCACACTAACTTCATAATTGAAGGAGAAATAAAATCCTTTTCAGAAAAGAAAATGCTGAGGAAATTTGTCACCACCAGGCCTGCCTTGCAAGAGCTACTGAAAAAATCACTAAATACAGAAAGGAAAAACCATTACCACCCACTTCAAAAACATGCTGAAGTACAAAGACCAATGATACTATGAAGCAACTACATCAACAAGTCTGCATGATAACCAGCTAGCGTCATCAGGTCAGGATCAAATTCACACATAACAATATTAACCTTAAATGTGAATGGACTAAATGCTTCAATTAAAAGACACAGAATGGCAAGCTGGATAAAGGGTCAAGACCCATCAGTGTGCTGTATTCAAGAGACTCATCTTATATGCAATGACATATGGGCTCAAAATAAAGGGGTGGAGGAAAATTTACCAACCAAATGGAAAGCAGAAAAAAGCAGGGGTTGCAGTCCTAGTTTCTGACAAAACAGACTTTAAATCAACAAAGATCAAAAAAGACACAGAAGGACATTACATAATGATAAGGGGATCAATTCAACAAGAAGAGCTAACTATTATAATTATATGCATCAAATACAGGAGCACCCAGATTCATAAAACAAGTTCTTAGAGACATACAAAGAGACTTAGACTCCTACACAATAATAGTGGGAGGCTTTAACACCCCACTGTGAATATTAGACATGTCATTGAGACAAAACATTAACAAGGATATTCAGGACTTGAACTCAGCTCTGGATGAAGTGAACCCAATAGACATCTACAGAACTCTCCACCCCAAAACAACATACTATACATTCTTCTCACTGCCACACGGCACTTACTCTAAAATGGCTCACACAATTAGAAGTAAAACAGTCCTCAGAAAATCCAAAAGAAATGAAATTATAACAGTCTTTCAGACCAGGGTACAATCAAATTAAAACTCAAGATTAAGAAACTCATTCAAAACCACACAACTACATGGAAATTGAACAACCTGCTCCTGAGTGACTCCTGGGTAAATAATGAAATTAAGGTAGAAATCAAGAAGTTCTTTGAAAGCAATGAGAACAAAGAGACAATGTACCAGAATCTCTGGGATGCAGCTAAAATAGTGTTAAGAGGAAAATTTATACACTAAATGCCCACATCAAAAATCTAGAAAGACTTCAAATTAAAACACTAAAATCACAACTAAAAGAACTAGAGAACCAAGAACAAACAAACCCCAAAGCTAGCAGAAGACAAGAAATAACCAAGATCAGAGTGGAACTGAAGGAGATAGAGACGAAAAACCCTTCAAAAAATCAGTGTATCCAGAAGGTGTTTTTTGAAAGAATTAATAAAATATATAGACTACTAGTTAAACTAACGAGGAAGAAAAGAGAGAAGAATCAAACAGAGACAACAAAAAAATGATGAAGGGGAGATTACCACTGACCCCTCAGAAATAAAAACAACCATTAGAAAATACTATAAACACCTCTATGCAAATACACTAGAAAATCTTGAAGAAATGGATAAATTCCTGGACACATACACCCTCCCAAGACAGAACCACGAAGAAGCTGAATCCCTGAATAGACAAATAACAAGTTCTGAAATCGAAGCAGTAATAAATAGCTTGCCAACCAAAAAAAAAAAAAGCCCAGGACCAGACGGATTTACAGGTAAATTCTACCAGAGGTACAAACAGGAGCTGCTACCACTTATTCTGAAACAATTCCAAACAATTAAAAACGGGGGACTCCTCCCTAATTCATTTTATGAGGCCAGCATCATCCTGTTACCAAAACATGACAGAGATACAAAAAAAAAAAAAAAATGGAACTTTAGGCCAACATCCTTGATGAACATCAATGCAGAAATCCTCAATAAAATACTGGCAAACCACATCTGTAGGAACTTAAACAAATTTACGAGAAAATAAATCCTGATTAAAAAGTTGGCAAAGGACATGAACAGACACTGCTCAAAAGAAGATATTTATGTGGCCAGGAAACAAATGAATAAAAGCTCAACATCACTGATCATTAGAGAAATGCAAATCAAAATCACAATGTGATACTATCTCATGCCAGTCAGAATGGCGATTATTAAAAAGTAAAGATGCCACAGATGCTGGCAAAGCTGTGGAGAAATAGGAACGCTTTTACACTTTTGGTGGGAATGTAAATTAGCTCAACCATTGTGGAAGACAGTGTGGTGATCCCTCAAAGACCTAGAACCAGAGATACCATTTGATCCAGCAATCCCACTACTGGGTATATACCCAAAAGAATATAAATCATTATATTATAAAGATACACGCATGTGTATGTTCATTGCGGCACTATTCACAATAGCAAAGACATGGAATCAACTTAAATGCCCATCAATTACCAGATTGGATAAAGAAAATGTGGGATATATACATCATAAAATATTATGCAGTCATAAAAAGGAATGAGATCATGTCCTTTGCAGGGATATAAACGGAGCTGGAAACCATTATCCTCAGCAAACTAATGCAGGAAGAGAAAACCAAACACCACATGTTCTCACTTATAAGTGGAAGCTAACAATGAGAACACATGAACACAGGGAGGGAAGGGTTGTGGGGAAAAAGACCTTCAGGATAAATAGCTAATGCAGGTGGGGATTAATACCTAGGTGACGGGTTGACAGGTGCAGCAAACCACCATGGCATACTTTTATCTATGTAGCAAAACTGCACATCCTGCACATGTATACCAGAACTTAAAATAAAATCAAATAAACTGATGGGTTGATAGGTGCAGCAAACTACCATGGCCCACTTTTACCTATGTAGCAAACATGCACATCCTGCACACATGTACCAGAAATTAAAATAAAATCAAATAAGTTTTTTCTAAAAGAGAGATGAATGGATGACAGATATGTGGTACTTATACACAATGGTGTGCTATTTAGCCTTAAAAAGTTGAGATCCTATTGTTTGCAATAACATGGATGGAACTGGAGAACGTTATGTCAAGCAAAATAAGCCAGGCACAGAAAGACAAACATTGCATTTTCTCACTTATTTGTAGGATCTAAAAATCAGAATGACTGAACTCAGACATAGAGAGAATGATGGTTATCCAAGGCTGGGAAGGGTAGGTGGGGGGAGGGGTTCTGGGCAGGGAGATGGGGATGTTTAATGGTTACAAAATGAAAGTTAGAAAGAATGAATAAAACCTACTATTTGATAGCCCAGTAGGGTGACTACAGTTAATAATAACTTAATTGCACATTTAAAAATAACTAAAAGATAATAATTGGATTGTTTGTAACTCAAATAATAAATACTTGAAGGAATGGAAAAAACATATTTACTCAAGAGAGGCTGAAGTATAAATCCTGCATTGACCAAAACATTATTGAATTAGATTGAGGAAATGCACAGGATATACTAAGAAAATTTTTCTAGAAGACCAAGAGTCAGAGAAAATACATTTTTTTGTAATAATAAAAAACAGAAAATGACCTAAATGTTCACAATAAGGAATTTTTAAAGTAAATTATTGGAGATGTATGCCAGGAAATACTAGTCACCCATTAAAAAGATTAAAGTGGATTTATCTTCATATCTATATATGTATATATATCCTGACATGTAAAGGTCATCATGTAATATTATTATTAAGTGAACTGCAAAGTCATAAAACTGAACATGCTGCATGATCTCAACTGAAGGAAGAAAAACAAATTGCAAGCATGTGTGAGTGTGTGGTTGTGGGCACCAATGACAAGAATCTACACATGACTAATTATGTACTTCAATTAATCTCATAATGTCATCAACTTTTTAAAATCTCTATTAACTTATGTTTCCAAAATATGACATAGAAATGCTGAATAGCAAGGATTTGTAAGATTAAAATCAACTTGGAAACTATGTTGTCTTTGTGGTTTTTCATGGCTGTGGTTATCAACCCCTGTGCACCTAGGGCTTGGTCCCAACGTTCTCCCTATTCCATGGGTATATATAGCCTTGAATTTACCCATCAGCACGCACAGAGCATGGGAGTACATAAGAGAAAAGCCTGTCTTGGCACCTAACAAAAGGGCAGTATCTTGACTCAGGTGTCTTTTTCTCATCTTCCTTCATCTTCATCTATCTTTTCGTTTATTCAGTCAACACATAATTATTATGCCAGTGACCGTCCTAGGAGCTTGGGACATAATAATATAGCAGGCACAATCCCTACCCTTACAAATCTTACAGTCTCAACCAAGGTGTCGCAACCATAGCATTATTGACATTTAGGGTTGGATAATTCTTTCTTGTGGGTAGGCTTTGCTGTACATTATAGTGCAGGGAAGGAAAATATTTTTTCTCTACCCATCTTAGATTTACTGGCAGGGGCACTGTAAATGACACTGACAAAAGATTAACGAGATGAAAACAAACAAATGTATTAACATGTGCATCAGGCATATACATGGGAGCATTCACAGATGGGTAACTCAAAAGAGGGATTAGGACTTGGGTTTTTATAGCATCATAACAAAAGAATCTACTTCAGTACATCAACTTGTGCTGAAGTAGATTAGTTAAGTTTCTCTCACCTCTCAAGCCATCCTCCTTGGTTTTTCTTTCCCTCATCTATCAGTTGGATGCAAAACATCCAATGGAGAATTTCAAAGCCCTAGAAGACGGTGTGAGCACTTGGTGAAATGACCTCCCATCAACTTCCTCAATGACTGCATGAAGTAGAAATGTCCTGTTGACCCAATTAGACTATGACAAGAATGAGGAGTTAACCCTTGCTGTGTTAAGCCATATATTCTGAAGACAGCTGTTGACTAAGCCTAATTATTGCATAACTCTACATAACTATTGTCTTGTCTACACTTTTAGGTGAATAACATCTAATCCACAGAAATGTTGGGGAGAACATGTCATATGTCCATCACATTGTCTGATCCGATGTAAGCATTCAAAAAATATAGTGATCCTCACCTTCAACTATTCACACCAGTTTATTGCAACTTCTGAACTTTTTGTTTCCCTTTTGCTTTTTGACAATAATGTCTTTATGTGGTGTAAATGTTAACCATGTAGAGTGAATCTGAATTGTTTTAAATTGGCCTTCTGGTTTATTCTTGAATCATAAGAAGATGAAACCATTTTAAGCACTAAAGTTCACCAATGCCTCAATTTCTGCTGATCTCAGAAACCACAAACACTATTCTTGTGTGGAAGAAGAAAAATATGCCATTTAATCTGGTGACTGTAAGAAAGCCTTTTCCTTCTCTGTGTTGATTTAAATGTAAACTGTTTCTATTTTGAAAAAAAAAATTACAGCTATTCATGTTTACCATCACAGGACTGAATCACAGAGTGTAGGCTGGAACCGACTAGGGTTTCATATCTGCAGCTAGAAAAACGATTGAGGCCTGGTTTGAAGTCCTGTGTTCTATTTATAATAGCTCTATTTTCTTCTTAAATGTCCCAGCAAAGATGTATTCTGATAAAACAGCTGCAGTTTCTGTAAAATCCATCGGCATAAAAGACACACTCAGGTAACCCATTCATTATTCTAGAACAGCATTGGTAGCTTTGACAAAATAATTATATAGAGAGTCAGATTGTTAAAAATTCCATTGATATTCCATGTATTCAGATAAATGATGAATCAGAAAATGAACTGGTACATATGGTTCTGTGCTACCAACTAATTATTTACTGCATGCCTGTTATGTGCAAAGTATCTAACATATACTGCTAAACAAAAGCATGAGAATGGAAGGAATATTTAAGTTACATGCCTCTTCTGCTCTTTCTCCTTCTCAAAAATTTCTACAAGCTTCCAACTGCTTATTAAAGTAGTTAGAAATCCATTACTCTGACATTCAAGGTCCTCTACAGTAAAGCTTTATGCAACCTTGGTGAGCAAACTGAACTAGTTGATGGTCCACAAAAATTTCCTGCATTTTTTGAAATTATGCTGTATCTTCTACCTGAATGTTCTCCTAGTCCTATGGATGTCTGTTGAAATTCAATCCATCCTTTAAAGCTCATTTCCATTGCTACTGATTTCATGCAGGATTATCTGATTACTTCTCAAAACACTTTAAAAAGAAAAGATGTCATGTCTCCTTCTTGTGCCCTTTGCTACTGACTCTTTGGAAACTTCTCATCTTCATCTATTCATCTTTTGTATATTTGTCTTAAGTGCACCAGTAGCACAACTACTTGAGGGCCAGAACTATCTTATTTTTTAATCCCTCAAAATGGTTTAACACAGTAGTTCCCTATACGTAGTTCACACTTCTTAAATATTTTAAATAAAAATTTAAAACTCAACAACAAAAGAGAAACAAACCAGTTTTTAAATAGGTAAGGGGCTTGTATTAGTCTCTTTTCATGCTGCTAAAAAAGACATACATGAGACTGGGTAATTTATAACAAAAAGAGGTTTAATGGACTCACAGTTCCACGTGGCTGGTGAGGCCTCACAATTATGGTGGAAGGTGAAGAGGGAACAAAGGCACATCTTACATGGCAGCAGCCAAGAGAGCATGTGCAGGAAACTGCCCTTTATAAAACCGTCAGATCTCATGAGACTGATTCACTACCACAAGAACAGCACGGGAAAACCCTACCCCCATAATTTAATTACCTCCTGCTGGTTCCCTCCCAGGACATGTGGGGATTATGGGAACTACAATTCAAGATGAGATTTGGGTGTGGACACAGCCAAACCATATCAGGGCTTGAAAAGACATTTCTCCAAAGAAAATATACAAATGGCTAATAACCACATAGAAAGACTATCAATATCACTAGTCATTATGAAAACATAAGTAAAAACCAACATGAAATACCATTTCACACTCATTAGGATGGCTATTATTAAAAGAAAAATAAATTAAGTGTTATCAATGATGTGAAGAAATTGGAACCCTTGTGCATTGCTGGTGAAAATGGAAAACAGTGCAGCTGCTGTGGAAAAGAGTATGGAAGTTTTTTTAAAAGTTAAACATAGAATTAGAATTTTATGATCTCGAAATTATCATTTGATCTAGCAATTCCATGGGTAGGCCTATACTCAAAATAATTGAAAGCAGGGACTTAACAAACACTTGAACACCAATATTCATAGCAATATTATTCACAATATCCAGAAAGTGGAAGCAACTCATATGTCCATCAACCGATGAATAAATGAACAAAATGTGGTATATACACATAAGAGAATATTATTCACCCTTAAAAAGAAAATAGATTCTGATACATGCTAAAACATGGATGAACCTTGGAAACATTTTCTAAGTGAACTAAGCTACACACAAAAACAAGTACTGAAATATTAACTTAATTCACTTACATGAGGTACATAGAATAGGCAGATTTACAGAGAGAGAAAGTAGAAGAGTGGTTACCAGGGGTGGGAGTAAGGGTTAATAGGGCATTACTGCTTAATGGCTACATAGTTTTTGTTTGGGATAACAAAAATGTCTGGAAGTGGATAATGGTGATGGTTGCACAACATTCTGAATGTACTTAATGCAACTGAATTGTCCAGTTTACAATGGCTCAAAGTTAAGTTTAATGTGTATTTCACCATAATAATGTTTTAAAATTAAAAATTACTTGCAAAGCTAGGATTTAGACCCATAGAAGTAAGACTAGTGATATATGTTGAAAGAAATGTAAAGAACATGAAAGTCCAACAGAAGTGAGTTCAAATTTTCTGTGTCCTTGGGGCAGTTATTAATCTCTTCAAGTCCCTGCTTCCTTACCTGGAAAAGGAAGATAACAAAAGCACCTGTAACATAAAGTTATCTTAAGGGACTATATCACATAATTTATGGAAAGCACTTAGCAAAGTGCTTAGTGCATGGTAATCTCACTAGAAGTACACTATTACTATTCTTAAAGCCAACAAATAGTAACTGATTATCTCTTATGAACATAAGACTAAATGCTAAGCTAAGAAGTTTGTAATTTGCTATGATAGTAAGGTAGATGACATTTTTGAGCAAGGGAAGCTTCCGTGACAGGCAGGTTTCAAGTGCTGAACTCTGGAGCCAGTGCAGAAAAGAAATTCAAGATTTTGGTTTAAAACAACTGGTTAAAATGGCAGATAAGCTGAAACAGTGAAGTCACAGAAAACGAACGTTTTCAGGAAGTAGTTGGGTTAGTATTCAGCAGGTCTTGTCTACTTATCTTATTCACCATAAATGGCCAATCTAAGGGAATGGAATATCTAATTAGGTATGGTAAAAGACACAAAATGTGTACTCATAATAATTAACAAATGAAGAATGATCTATTTCTCATCGCTTTATTTCACATTTTGACTTGAATACTAAATCAATCTCTAAAACTGAAATGCCTATTTTAAATTATCCAAACACCAAAACCTATTACTGCTATAAGATTCCTATTCCTGCTATAAGATTTCTTTTTGTTTTGCTTTCCTATGAAGAAGAAAATAAGTACAAATTAAAAATAAATTTACAATGGTTTAAAAATACCAAATAGATTAAATAAGCCTTGCTGGTTAAAAAATGAATTAAAATGTAAAAAACAAAATTCTATATAGCTAATTGAAAAAATTGGGAATATAAAACATGCTCTAAAATCACCTTGAGATGAACCAAAGTTGTTAAGTGAACTAGTGGCTAGTAACATTACTTTTGATTATTTTACTTCCTAAGAATTCATTTACAGCCAGAGGCAACATTTTAAAATTGAAGCAACATTAAAAAACATGCAGTGCCAATATAATTGGCTAAAAATGAATCATTTTTTCTAATTAAAAATGAATAAACTTTTCTAATTAAAAATGAATAAAATGAAATAACAAAAACTCACTTAAAAACTGTGGAACGTTACAATCATTTACAGAAATGAAAAAAATATTTTATGAGAATAACAAATGGCAAGAAATGCATAGAAGCAAATAAAATCATTACAAAATTGCTTTCAGGTGCATGAAATTTAGTGTGCTGGAATTATGTGTGTGTGAGAAAGAGTATGTGTATGTATGTGTCTGTGTGTGTACAATTGTACCGTTACAGGAGATGTTCAGTTTCAAAGTGTATTTTCTTTTGTCACGTTTGAGTTTGATCAATTTCATTTCTTTGCCATTTTTTTGACAAATTCACCCGTATTTCTGCCAAAAATAGATTGGAGTTGGTGGAGCTATAAAGAAGAGTTGAGGGGCTACTGCAGTCTTGCAAGTGTGAGATGAGGCAGGCCTGGATAAAAGTTCTGTGAGAACATTTTCTCATTCTCTAAACTGAACCACTTTTAAAAGGAGGCTGTACTATGTCCTCCTCCAGGCACCTCACAGTGGCTTTTATTTATCTAGACTAGAACTTAACACACTCTGTTCTAAGCATTTCCTTACTTGTGCTTTTCTCACTAGATTACAAGCTTCTAAATGGCAAGGATTTTTTTTTTTGCATCCCCAGTGCTTAGCACAGAGTCTAGCACATAGTAGGTCCTCCCAAATGTTTTTTGAATAAACAGAATGTTTACTAGATTCTCATGGCTCATTATTGGACACTTCTTCTGCACACATTCTACAGCATCTTGTGTGGAAGATTCTTCAATCTGTAGAAATTAGGAAACAGCACTGAAGTATAGGATTTAAACGAATGTTTTTTCTAAGTGAGTTCAGCATTCTTTTTAACTGAGTGTCTACTTGCATGAACCAGGCAAACAGACTATTCAATGGTAGAAATGTAAGTGAATCTAAATCAAATATAAGGATGAAAAATTGTAAAGAAACTTGGCAAGGTGCACCAACCAAGCATGGGTGCATCAGTGGTATATAGAAAAGACATAGATGGGGTTATACATGAAGTTTGGTTACCACTACAAAATGGTAGAGACAAAAGATTAAAAGAAGTCCAAAGAAAAATGAGACGAATTTCCAAGTGTATATATATATTTACAGGTAACATTTATTGAGTGCCTCTCCTGGCTAGGCAAGTTCTAATTTCTTCCAACAAACACATAAGGAGCATTACAAATTCTATTTTACAAATAAAGATGCTAAGGCACAGAAAAAGAAAGTAAATAACTCTTTTAGGGACATACAGCAAGAAAAGAGAAGAGCTGGAAGGTCCTCCCAAATGGTTGGATTTTTTTTTTTGTAAACTCAAAAATTCTGTCTTCAGAGTCTGAAGTTGACCATTGTCCTAAATGAATTATAAAAATTAATGATGGTGGGGTGGCCAAAATGGCTGACTAGAAGCAGCTAATGTATACCACTCTCATGGAGAGGAACACAAAGGGCAAGTAAATACAGCAAATTCAACTGAAACATCTAGGTACATCCATTGAGACAAATGAAGGAAACAATTTGACTCACGGAGAATGGAGAAAAGCAAGAGAGCATGACAGCCCACCTAGGAGAGACATGGAGCCAGGAGAATCTCTCCCACTCAGTGAAGTGGTGATTGAATGTGCAAGCCCAGGAATCATGGTTCTCCCACAAATCTTTGCAACCCTCTGGTCAGGAGATCCCCTCATGGACCCACTTCACCAGGGCCTTAAGTCTGACACACAGAGCTATGTGGAGTCTCCTCAGAGCAGCTTCTCAAGCACATGTGGATATTCTGGAGCCTTAGATAGCCAGGCCTTTCAGGCTTCCCGGCAAAAGCAACTGCAACTCCAGGAAAGTGGGAGATTAGATCTCAGTGCATAGCTCTAGAAAAGGTGCTGAATCCAGGAGGCTGAGCAGCAACAGTCTTCGGGCCCCACATTCACAGCAACTCACAGGATAAGACCCACTGGCTTGAAACTACAGCTAGCTGCTGGTAGTAGTGCGAGACAGAACTCCTGGGGGGAGGGGTGGGCCACCATTTTTGCTGTTTGGCCAACTTAGCTGTTCCAGCCTTTGGACTTTGGAGAGTCTGAGGTAACTGGAGACTGAAGCAAGCCCCCAGCACAGAACAGCTGCTCTACAAAAATGTAACCAGAATGCTTTTGTAAGTTCCTTGATCCTGTTCCTCCTCACCAGGTGGGTCATCCAAACTCTGATCTCCAGCTACCCCTGCCAGTGTTCTCCAGCTGACAGACATTTCAAACCTCCCTGGGATGGAGCTTCCAGAGAGGGCAGTGGGATGCCATCTTTGCTGTTTGGGCAACTTAACTGTTTCACCCTTTGGACGTTGGAGTTTCCTTGATCCTGTTCCTCCTCACCAGGTGGGCCATCCCAACTCTGATCTCCAGCTACCCCTGCCAGTGTTCTCCAGCTGACAGGTGTTTCAAACCTCCCTGGGATGGAGCTTCCAGAGAGGGCAGTGGGATGGCATCTTTGCTGTTTGGGCAACTTAACTGTTTCACCCTTTGGACGTTGGAGAGTCTGATGCATCCATGGGTTAAGCGGACCCCAAGCACAGCACAGCTAGCTGCTCTATGAAAATGTGGCCAGACTGCTGTTCTAAGTGAGTCTCTGATCCCATTCCTTGACACAGGGCAGCACCTCCTAACTGGGGCCTCCACCTACCCCCACTGGTGTGTTTTGGCTGACAGAGGTATCAAAACCTCCCTGAGACGGAGTTCCCAGAGGGAGGGATAGGACTCCATCTATGCCATTTGGGCGACTTACTCATTCCACCCTTTGGGCTTTGGAGACTCTGAGGCAACTGGGGACTTGAGTGGATCTCCAGCACAGCACAGCACATCTGCTCTACAAAAACAAGGCCAGGCTGCATTTTAAATCAGGTCCCCAATTCTGTTTCTCATCACTGAGTAGGTTGTCCCAGCCGGGTTCTCCAGCCACCTCCTAAAGGGGCATATGAGCCTGCAACAGGTCCGTACCTTCCTGGAACAGAGCTCCCAGAGGGAGGGGCAAGCGTCCATCTTTGCTGTTTCACAGCCTTCATTAGTGATACCTCCAGCTACTGGAATATCCAAAGAGACTAGGGACTGGAGCAGACCCTCAGCATACCACAGCATCCCTACAAAAAGTGGCCAGATTATTACGTGGGTGCCCATTTCTATATCTCCTCACCAGGCAGGTCCTCCAGTCCTGGTCTCCAGCCACCTCTTTCCAGGGCTATTGAGCCTGTAGCAGCAGCACTGCAACTCTCTGGATAGAGCCCCTAGGGGCAACTGAAAGCCTCTCTGCCACTGCCTCTGCAGTAAGACTACCCTTGCTACCCCTCAGACTAACAAAGAAGCAAAGACCTTGGTGCCTTATCCACACCTCCAACAAGCTGCAGTTGACCCAAGAAGAGGAGGCCAGTCTGTCTCCCATGGGTCCCACACATCCCTACTGCTTGTCACCTGACAGAGAAGCCCTGGCTTGGGCCCACAGCACAAACCTTTTATCCTGGAATGACTGCACTGAGCAATTGCTGATCTGCATCTATCTGGGGTGGAGCCCCCAGGAATCAAGCAAAAGACCCTTGGCCACAACCACTACTAAGGTCCCTTCCTCTGCTGTCTCCAAGTTGTGGGAGAAACATAAACCCTGAGATCTCCCCAGAGTTATTGTGGGCAGCGCAGGAGTGCCAAGCCACAATCTACAGCTAGCACTAAAGGGGAAGAGGAACCCACAGTTTCACCACATTGAGAGAGAACATGACTGCAACTGTGAGGAAACATAGGGGAGCCACACAACTGAGCAAGTGTCTGCCAACCAACAGATATGCCTAAGCGCCACCTACTGGATCACACTCCAAAGCTTCAACACCAAAAATACCTTGCTAACATATCTCACTGTGAAACCAAAGAAAATAAGTCAGTTTCAAATAAAGACCCTGAACAAAGCCTTGGCCCTGTGAAAACATCCAGAAAAGAAGTCTGTTGACTGTACTTAATCTGCACTGCAGTTACATGAAAATCCACATGCAGAAATGAGAAAGAACCAATGCAAAAACTCTGGTAACTCAAATGGCCGGAGTGTCATTATGTCCTCCAATGACTGCACCAGTTCTCCAATAAGAGTTCTTAAACAGGCTGAACTGGCTGAAATAAAATAAATATAATTCAGAATATGGATAGGAATAAAAATCACTGAGATTCTGGAGAATAGTAAAACCTAATCCAAGGAAACTAAGAATCACAATAAAATGATACACCTGCTGAAGGACAAAATAGCCAGTATCAAAAGGAACCTAAAGGATCTGACAGAGCTGAAAACACAATACAAAAATTTCACCAGGCAATCACAAGTATTAACAGCATAATAGAACAAGATGAGGAAAAAAATTCGGAACTTGAAGACTGGTTTCTGAAAGACAGTCAAACAAAAATAAAGAAAAAAGAAACAAACAAAACTTCTGAGAAGTATGGGATTATGTAAAGAGACAAAATCTATGAATCATTGGCATTTCTAAAGGAAGGGGGAGAAAGCAAACAACTTGGAAAACATATTTCATGGTATCATCCATGAAAACTTCCGCAAGCTTTCTAAAGAGGCCAACAGTGAAATTCAGAAAACATAGAGAACCCCTGCAAGGTTTTACACTAGAAGATCATCCCCAAGACACATAATTATCAGATTTTCCAAGGTTAAAATGAAAGAAAGAATGTTAAAGGCAGCTAGAGAGAAAGGGTAGGTCGCCTACCAAGGAAACCCCATCAGGCTAAGAGTGGACCTCTCAGATGAAACCCTACAAGCCAGAACAGGTTTGGGGCCTGCAGTCAACATTCTTAAAGAAAAAATATTCAACCAAGAATGTCTTATTTAGTGAAACTAACCTTCCTAAGCAAAGGATAAATATAATCATTTTTAGATAAGCAAATGTTGAGCTAATACAAAAACCCACTAAAATACAGACCAGTGACCCTATGAAGAAATCACATAAACAAGCCAGCATAGTAGCCAGCTAACAACACAATGACAAGGTGAAATCCCCACATATAAATACTAATCTTGAATGTAAATGAGCTAAATGTTCCGTTTAGAAGACACAACATGGCAAGCTGTATAAACAAGCGCGACCCAGTGGTATGCTGTCTTTAAGAGCCCCATCGCACAAGTAATGACACACATCAACTCAAAATAAAGGGATAGAGGAAAATCTACTAAACAAATGGAAAACAGAAAAAGAGCAGGGGTTGCAATTCTACTTTCAGACAAAACAGACTTTAAGAAAACAGAGATCAAAAAAGACAAGAGAATTACATAATGGTAAAGGGTTCATATCAACAAGAACATGAAGCAAATTCTTAGAGACCTACAAAGAGGCTTAGATTCCCACACAGTAATATTGGGAGACTTCATCACTTCACTGGCAGTATTAGACAGCTCATGAAGGTGGAAAATTAACAAAGATATTCAAGATCTGAACTCAACATTGAACCAAATGGACCTGATAGACCTCTGCAGAACTCCCCACCAAAAAACAACAGGATGTACATTCTTCTTACCACCAAATGGCACATACTCTAATATTAACCACATAATTGGACATAAAGCAATCCTCAGAAAATAGAACTCAAATCATACCAAACACACTCTTGGATCACAATGCAATAAAAGTAGAAGTTAAGACTAAGAAAATCACTCAAAACCATGCAATTACACGGAAATTAAACAACATGCTTCCAAATGACTTTTGGGTTAATAATGAAATTAAGGCAGAAATAATGTTCTTTGAAACTAATGACAACAAATATACAACATACCAGAACCTGGGGCACAGCTAAGGCAGTGATAGGAGGAAATTCATGACAGTAAATGCTCACATAAAAACGTAGGAAATATATCAAATTAACAACCTAACATAACAACTGAAAGAATTAGAGAAGCAAGAATAAATGAACACAAAAGCTAGCAGAAGACAAGAAATTACCAAAATCAGACCTGAATGGAAGGAAATCAAGACATAAAAGAACATTCAAAATATCAGCAAATCCGAGAGTTGATTTTCTTTAATTAATAAAATAGCCTACCAGCTAGACTAATAAAGAAAAAAAGAGAGAATATCCAAATAAACACAATTAGAAATGACAAAGAGGATGTTATCACTGACCTCACAGAAATGCAAATAAGCATCAGAGGCTACAATGGAAACCTCAATGAACATAAAGTAGAAAGCCTAGAAGAAATGGATAAATTCCTGGACATATACACCCCACTTATGACTGAATCACGAAGAAATTGATTACCTGAACAAACTAGTAATGAGCTCTAAAATTGAATAACTAATAAATATCCTACTAACAACAACAACCAAAAAAAGCCCAGGACCAGATAGATTCACAGTTGAAATCTACCGTTCACATAATGGTACCTGGTTCCATTCCTACTAAAACTATCACAAAAAATTAAGGTGAAAGGACTCCCCACCAACTTATTCTATTCTGTGAGGCCAGCATCATCCTGATACCAAGCCTGGCAGAGATACAATTAAAAGAAAAAAAAAGAACTTCAGGCCAATATCCTTGATGAAAATTGATGCAAAAATCCTCAACAAAACACTTGCAAATTAAATCCAGCAGCACATCAAAAACTAATTGATCACAATCAAGTAGGCTTCATCTCCAGGATAGAAGATTGGTTCAACATACACAAATCAATAAATGTGATTCATCATATAAACAGAACTAATGACAAAAACCACGATTATTTCAATAGATGCAGATAAGGATTTTAATAAAATTTAATGTCACTTCATGTTAAAGCTCTCAATAAACTAGGTAATGAAGAAACATACCACAAAATAATAATGGCCATCTATGACAAATCCACAGCCAACATCACAATGAATGGGCAAAAGTTGGAAGCATTCCATTTGAAAACTGGCACAAGTATGCCCTCTATTACCACTGCTATTCAACACAATATTGGAACTTCTCTCTAGAGAAATCAGGCAAGAGAAAGAAATAAAAGGCATACAAATAGGAAGGCAGGAAGTCAAATTATCCCTATTTGTAGATGACATGATTTTATGTCTAGAAAACCCCATAGTCTTGGCCCAAAAGCTCCTTCAGCCAATGAACAACTTTAGCAATGTCTTAGGATACAAAATCAATGTACAAAAATCAATAGCATCCGTATACACCAACAACAGCCAAATCAGGAAGGTAATCCCATTCACAATTGCCACAGAAAGCATAAAGTACCTAGGAAGGCAGTTAACCCGGAATGTGAGTGATTTCTACAATGAGAATTGTAAAACACTGGTCAGAGAAATCAGAAAATCAGAGAAGACACAAACAAATTGAAAAACATCCCATACTCAGAGACAGGAAGAATTCATGGCATTAAAATGGCCATACTGCCCAAAGCAATTTATAGATTCAATGCTATTCCTATAAAACTACCAATGACATTATTCACAGAACTACACAAAATGTTTTAAAATTCATATGGAAACCAAAATAACCCAAATAGCCGAGGCAATCCTAAGCAAAAAGAAAAAAGCTGGAGGCATCACATTATCCAACTTTAAACTATACTACAGGGCTACAGTATCCAAAACAACAAGGTACCAATACAAAAACAGGCACATCAACCAATGGAACAGAATAGAGAGCCCAGAAACAAGGCTACACACCTACAACCATCTGTTCTTTGGCAAAGCTGACAAAAGCAAGCAATGGGACAAAGACTCCCTATTTAAAAAATGATACTGGGTTAATTGGCTAGCCATATGCAGAAGATTGAATCTGGACACTTTCCTAACCCCATATAAAAAAATTAAATCAAGATGAATCAATGACTTAAATGTAAAACACAAAACTATAAATAACCTGGAAGACAACTTGGAAATACCACCTTGAACATAGGGACAGCAAAGATTTCATGACAAAAACACCAATAGCAATTGCAACAAAAGCGAAAGTTGACAAATGTGATCTAATTAAACTGAAGAGCTTCTGCACAGCAAAAGAAACTATCATCAGAGTGACTGGACAATCTACAGAATGATTTTAAAAATCTGTAAACTATGCATTCGACAAAGGTCTAATATTCAGCATCTATAAGGAACTTAAATTTACAAGAGAAAAACAACCTCATTAAAAAGTGGACAAATGACATGGACATATGCTTTACAAAAGGAGACATACATGCAGCCAAAAAGCATACGAAAAAAAAAAAAAACCTCAGTATCACTGATCATTAGAGAAATGCAAGTAAAAACCGCAATGAGATACCATCTCACAGCAGTCAGAATGGCTATTATTAAAAATCAAAAAATAATGGATGCTGATAAGTTTGCGGGGAAAAGGGAACATTTATATGCTGTTGGTAGGAGTGTAAATTAGTTCAAACATTGTGGAAAGCAGTGTGGCAATTTCTCAAAGAGCTAAAAGCAGAACTATCATTCGACCCAGCAATTCCATTACTGGGTATACACCCAAAAGCATATAAATTGTTCTGCCATAAAAACACATGCACGTGAATGTTCATTGCAGCACTATTCACAATAGCAAAGACATGGAATCAACCTAAATACCCATCAATGACATACGGCATAATAAAAATTTCCTACATATATACCATGGAATACTATGCAGCCATAAAAAGGAACAAGATCATGTCCTTTGCAGGGACATTGATGGAGCTGGAGTTATTCTTAGCAAACTAATGCAGGAACAGAAAAGCAAATACCACATGTTCTCACTTATAAGTGGGAGCTAAACGATGAGAACTCATAAACACAAAGAAGTGAAAAACTGCCACTGGAGTCTACTTGAGGGAGGAGGTTGGGAGGGGGAAGTGGAGCAGAAAAAAATACTATTGGGTACTAGGCTTAATACCTGGTGATGAAATAATCTATACAACAAACCCCCATGACATGAGTTTACCTATGTAACAAACCTTCACCTGTACGTCTGAATCTAAAATAAAAGCTAAAAAAAGAAAAAATAATAAACAAATGAAAATTAATGATACACCCAGAACTTTATGTATAAAACAGGAAAAGATAACTATTCCCAAGATTCTCATGATAGAAAAGCAAGCCTCAGGACTGAGGGCATTTTCCATCTGACTCTTAAGGATTGGAGGGACATTCAAGTCCTAGAAGTGTCTATTCTTATGCAGTCACTAAAAAGAAGTCTGAGCACTATTCCCATTCACAGTCTTGTCATTCATCAAATCTGTTTCATTCACAGTCTCGACATCAAGGGTATTTTCGCTTCTTGGTATCTTCAACTGAAGAAAAACTGGGGTGAATCAAATGAATCAAATATAAAGTTACACATTGACTGCTCACAATTTCCTCCCTTCTCTCAATTTTGTCATTTGTAAAATTGGGATAGAAGAGGAGGTGAATCAAGAAGGCTAAAAAAGAAAAATTCTGCATCAATAGCCCCCAACCCCAGAAAGGCCAAATTGAACAACTATGCCCACAGGAAAGCCCCTTAACAAGAACCAAAAAATTAAGTAAGCCACTACAGTACTTGTTTTCTACATGATGTCAAGGAAAGAGGCATTGAAAAGGGTAGGAAAGGCAGTCTTGCATTGCCTACCCCACTTCAACTTCCACTGTAAGCACCCTTTAGAGAGAGAATTTGTGTACTTAGGGGACATTAAAATGGGGATAATACTAGTCTCTACCTTACAGAGTTGTGGGAATTATTGCAGGAAAAATACTCAGTGTAGTGTCTGACACAAAACAAGTACTCAGTGAGCACTGTGTTTGAAATGAGTGCTCTACTTCACTTTGCAATGTCTTCTCTCTTCCACTAGGCTGTGAGTGTGTCAGAAGTTCCAGGGATCAGGAATTTAATGGATGTTGATTTCTACCCACTCAACAAGCCCCAGTTAAGAGACAAATGCTCGGGCCAGGTGGCTATTTATAACCTACTAAAACTATAAACTAAAACACTCACAAGGGTAATTAAAACAAAATTATGGAGTCACAAAAGTAAGTTGAAGAGAAACTTCTATAAGAAGTTCCAGAAGAGGCAAGAAAAATAACTTGCTAATGGTAAAGCCCCATTGTGTACAGGAAGAACACAAATTAGAACACCCTCAAAAGGTGCTCTTAAGTTTACTGAGACTACAGACTTATATTTAATGTGAATACACAGAGGACAATATGCCTTCCCTATTTCAGCACATCGCAGCTCTTCTTGTTTATAGCTTACTATGCATAAAATTTCACACCCCTGCTTCAGTGAAGATGTGTGCCCTGCCAACCTGCTGGATTTTACACGTATAGTGGATGTTGCTGTCATGTTCAGAAATGTATCTGAGATACTTTGCAATAGTCAAAGCCGGGACAAAGAGCAGCCTAGAACAAGAGTATAATTTTAGCCCATCACAGACTTTGAGGACAGATAGGGAAGGTAATGCACTTAGATTTACATCATGCAGCCTGCATGGAGAGCAGATTTCTAAAAATCCTACAACTGTGATTCTCAACCACTTCTCTGTAAAACAGTAATAAAATGCTTATTCTTTAATATCTGCTTGCTCACTTCCTTTGTCTCTTCTCAGCTCTAATAATTCACCAAACTGCACACTGATCCATTATTGGGCTGAAAAAGACTTCCCTAAGTGATATATTTTGGAATAATCAAAACATAGAAAAAGAAATCACACAAACCAGATTCTATTAATATTTTAGGAGCAATTTTTAAAAGAGGGAAGAGAATGAGTATGTAATGTGGTTCCCTTCCTTATAAGGTTGAAAATATTTTATTATTCTATTTTATTTTACTGTATTTTATTTTTAGTTTAGTTTACTTAGCATGTAGATAGCAGCTATCAAGAGCTAGGCAGTATTCAAAGTACTTACAAGATGTAACTCATTTGATACAATAAACATTGACTATTTACGATTTCAGCTTCAGCTAATAGTTTTATGCTTAATGGGGGAAGAAGATATGTGAGCTACAGCTATGTTCTCGAAAGCTTTATTCTACTGAAATGTCACATTACCTCAAGTTAGTGGTCAGAGAGGGGGCAGCAGCCAGACAGTGGAAACTGTGCAGGTTCTACTAAGAAACTCAGACTTCAGCCTCAAGGTCATAGGGAGTGTTCATTATTAAAGAAACAGGATGCTGTTTGTGCAGTGGAAGTATGGCTTATGACTGGGCCAGGATGTCAGGATTCAGATGTTTTATTCTTTGATGAAACAGAACAAAGTTACTTTCTAGCTGTGTCTACACATTGAAAAGGAGAAAAAGAACAGAGAGAATTGTCTAGTGTTGGACCCATTTTAAGTAGTCCAGAGTTGTAGCTCAATGAATAGATGGATTAAAACTCAGCTGAAGTTTTACCTCAATTGTCTTGATAATTCATGAATAAGCAAAATAGATGTGTGTATTATTCCATTCTCACACTGTTATAAAGATACTACCCAAGACTGGGTAATTTATTTTATAAAGGAGGTTTAATTGACTCCGATCTGCATGGCTGGGGAGGCCTCAGGAAACTTACAATCTTGGGAGAAGGCCAAAGGGAAGCAAGGCACATCTTACATGGTGGCACAAGAGAGAGAGCATGAGAAAGTGCCACACTTTAAAACCATCAGCTCTCATGAGAACTTCCTCACCATCAAAAGAACAGCATGGGAGAAACTGCCACCATGATTCAATCACCTGCCACCCCATCCCTCCCTTGACATGTAGGGATGACAATTTGGCAAGAGATTTGGGTGGGAACCCAGAACCAAACCATATCATTCTGCCCCTCATCCCTCCCAAATCTCATGACCTTTTCACATTTCAAAACCAATCATGCCTTCCCAACAGTCCCCCAAAGTCTTTACTCATTCTAGCATTAACTCAAAAGTCTACATCTAAAGTCTCATCTAAGACAAGGCAAGTCCCTTCCACCTATGAGCCTGTAAAATCAGAGGCAAGTTAGTTACTTTCAAGATACAATGAGGGTACAGGCATTGGGTAAATGTTCCCATTACAAATAAGAGAAATTAGCCAAAACAAAGGTGTCACGGGCCCCATGCAAGCCCAAAACACAATAGGGCAGTCATTAAATCTTAAAGCTCCAAAATGATCTCCTTTGACTCCATGTCTCACATCCTGGGCACAGTGATGCAAAGGGTAGACTCCCAAGGCCTTGAGCAGTTCTGCCCCTGTGGTACTGCAGGGTACAGCCCCTTTGGATGATTTATGAGCTGTGGTTGAGTGTCTGCAGTGTTTCCAGGTGCATGGTGCAAGCTGTTGGTGGATCTAGCATTCTGAGGTCTGGAGAATGGTGGCCCTCTTCTCACAGTTCCACTAGGTAGTGCCCCAGTGGGGACTCTGTGTGGGGGCTCCGAACCCACATTTCCCTTCTGCACTGCCCTGTCAGAAGTTCTCCATAAGGGCTTCGTTCCTGCAGTAGATGTCTGTTTGGACATCCAGGTGTTTCCATATATCCTCTGAAATCTAGGCAGAGGTCCCAAAGCTCAACTCTTGTCTTCTGCATACCCACAGGCCTAACACCACATGGAGGCTGCCAAAGCTTGGGGCTTCCACCCTCTGAAGCAATGGCCTGAGCTGTATGTTGGCCCCATTTAGCCACAGCTGGAGCTGGAGTGGCTGGGATGCAGGGCACCAAGTCCTGAAGGGGCCCTGGTCCTGATCAACAAAACCATTTTTTTTCTTCTAGTCCTGTGGGACTGAGGTGGGAGGGGCTGTCCCCAAGGTCTCTGACATGCCCTGGAGTCATTTTCTCTATCATCTCGGCAATTAACATTTGGCTCCACGTTACTTATGCAAATTTCTGCAGCTGTCTTGAATTCCTCCCCAGAAAATGGGTTTTCCTTTGTACCACGTGGTCAGGCTGCAAATTTTCCAAACCTTCATACTCTGCTTCCCTTTGAAACATAAGTTCCAATTTCAAATCATCTCTCTCAAGATCAAAGTTCCACGTATCTCTATGGAAAGGGCAAAATGCCGTCAGTCTCTTTGCTAAAGCAAAGCAAAAGAGACCTTTGCTCTAGTTCCCAATAAGTTTCTCATCTCCATCTGAGACCACCTTAGCCTGGACCTTATTGTTCACATCACTATCAGCATTTTGGTCAAACATTCAACAAGTCTCTAGGAAGTTCCAAACTTTCCCACATCCTTTTGTCTTCTGAGCCCTCCAAGTCTCTGGTAAGTTCCAAATGTTCCCACATTTTTCTCTCTTCTTCTGAGCCCTCCAAACTGTTCCAAACTCTGCCTGTTGCCCAATTCTAAAGTTGCTTCCACATTTTCAGGTTATCTTTATAGCAATATCCCACTATCCCCGTACCAATTCTCTGTATTAGTCTGTTCTCTGCTATAAAGATACTACCTGAGACTGGGTAATTTATAAAGAAAGGGGGTTTAATTGACTCACAACTCTGCATGGCTCGAGAAGCCTTAGGAAACTTACAATCATGGTGAAGGCAAAGGGGAAGCAAGGCATGTCTTACATGGCAGCAGGAGAGAGGGACGGGGGAAGTTCCACACTTTTAAAACCATAATCTTTTGTGAGAACTCACTATCAGGAGAACAGCATGATGGAAACTGCCCCCATGGTCCAATGACCTCCTACCAGGTCCCTCCCTTGACATGTGGGGATTACAATTCAAGATGAGATTTGGGTGGGGACAAAGAGCCAAACCATATCAATGTGTTTTTTGAATTTCATATTCTCCTTTTTACCTTCTGTACATGGACTCACTTTACTAATGGAAAATTCCAACCATATGGATAGTATTGGTAATAACAACTATCCTTTCCCAAGGGCCTGCTTTGCTCCAAGTGTTGTGCTATGTACTTTACATATACCTTGCTTAATTCTTACAGCTTGGTAGGTGTTATTATCACAATTTTACTGGTGAGGGAAATTGAGTTTCAAAGAGGTTATGCACCATTAGAAGGTCATTCAGCTAGGAAATAGTAGAGCTGGGACTCTTCCTACTCTCCGGGTATCCTTTATTTGAGACACCCCTGCCTAATTGCTGTTGCCTTGCTATACATTATCCTTTTCAACCCCAAACCTTTTTGTTTCTGTTCCTTCTGTTTGGAAAGTTTTCTCTGAATCATCTGTTCTCACCCCTTAGTGCCTAACTCAAATGTCACTTCCTTGCAGATGTCCTCTCCTCACCCCATTCCCAGGCACTGGCAGTTAGTTTTAGGAACTGAGTACTTATATCTACATTGAAAATGAGTTATTAGGTGGGCAGTGGGTTGGGCTGGCCTAAAATGAGGTTTTCTCTCTGTAGTTTGTGGATCACCTACATCAGAATCACATGGAGCTGCTCTATGTGTATATTGGTGGGGACGAGTAAGAAACTTGTTAGACACCACTTTCCTGGGCCTCATACCAAATCTGCAGGAACAGATTCTTTTGTCATAAGTCCCTGGAATATGCAGGCACCCCAGATTGTTCCTAAAGACACTAATATTTGAAAAGTTTTATATGCATTAGACCTACACAATTTCCCTCATTACGGGTCCCTCAGGCACAGGCATAATGCATAGTGGAATTCAACTGCTTTGCTAAATAAAAATCAATATCAATTGCAGGAAAGACAAAGGAGAATTGCAGAGATTGAGCCTTTTTGCTTAAACTTAATGGGATTTTTGTGAAGGAATCTTCTAAAAAGTAATACAAATTAATTTAAACCAAATAACCACAAGATTTTTCAAAATTAAACCTGCCAAATACATCTGTTGATTTGCAAATTTCCTTTCTAACATGTAGGCCCTTTAGAGGTAGAGACTGTGTCTTTTACCCTTTTTTCACCCAACCCTATACTCTTACCCAGACCAAGCACACAACTGGGAATAAAAGTCTATATTAACTGAAAGGAAAAACTGAACAGGAGGAATCTAAGATTACCACCATATGCGTTGTGGTTCACCCAAGGGCTTCATTCATTGGACATTTGCGGCTAAGTGTTGGTTTTGGGTAAACACGGCTTTAAATCAGCCCTGGTCTCAAGGAGTTTGCTAGGTAGTTAAAGAGCAACACGTATGTGCAGTGAACTGTTGTGAATCCTATGAAGGAGGTATAAGAAGCCCAATGGCAGGATTAAGGAAAATGTGATTTTCTCTCTTGGATTAGGGAGGACTGCATGGCAGAAGAGGTATACACCTAAAAATACAGTAGCCTGTATCTTTAAAACAGAAAATGAGTAATAAGTTTTTCTGTTGGTGCACACAGTGAGTTATGTTCAAATAAAAATGAACTAGGAAGGCAGTAGGGATTTGTCCTTACTTTTCACACTAGTAAGTACAGAATCCATAGGCGGATTTTTGATATAAAATTTTTTCAACTAATAAAATGTCAGCAATGCATTAAAAATTTTCAGAGAGGAGAACTATGAAATAAACATAATAAATCACTTTAGTGGTAATAAAACCAAGATGAATCAAAGCCCAGTGTCAACTTTGCAGCTATCTTTGAACAATCTCGTATCTTGAGAAGAAATGTCCACATAATTCCAAAACCTTATGGACGATAGCATTAAAATATTAAACAGTTTTTCATTTAAAAGCCTTGCCTGCCTCACGTTCTATAGCTTCTCAATTCAGAATGTGAGTTTTTGCCTGGAAGTTGCTTTATTTCTGCTGCAATATAATTTTAGAGAATTTTGTAACTGAATACTAATTCAGAAATCCTTCTTACATATTTTAATTCCCTAGATGGAGTTTAATTTCTTTGCTATGACTATTCAAGCTTTTTGAAATAAAGTAGCGTTTAAGGTGCACAGATTTATCCTTTCTTTGGGGCATCTTAAGGTCTACTGATATCAAATGCTATGTGTAAGTTACCCACAAGTTTAATGATTCCCACTTTTGTTAATGAAATGTTTGCACAGCTGCCACAGTGTGTACAGGAAGATTAAAACCTGCTGTCACTTTGTTAAGAGAAGCCTAGGGGAGACTGAACACAACTGGCCTGTGGATTAAGGAAACCTGGGAAAACCAAAACCGTCCATTAGTTTACAGGAGCTTCAACCTGGGAACTAGAAGCAGGAAAGAAGATGTACTGACCTTTCAAGTGAACTGAAATCAATTAACCCCAGTACCTGTCAACTTCTTGTGATTTGTGCTTATGCTGTGGTCACCTTTATCGCTCCTATGAATTCTTATCTGAAAACAAGTTCTTCATTGGTATAAGATGAAGTGAAATAGCTGAGCTGAGAAAGCAGTTTCCCATCAGAATGGCAAATGCAGTTCCTGTCAAGCAGGTTACAATCTTTGAAAAAAAAATTAAAATAAAATAAAATGAAAGGCTACCAAGATAGACCAGGTCAGTAATTTGACAAGTTGTGTCCTGGGTGTAAAACAAAGTAAAGGAAAATGTTCTAGGAGATATATGCAGATCCAGCAAGAGTGAATGCGCTGTTGCCCAATCTGTGTCAAGCACTGTGAACAGATTTGGGGCGGAATAGCTTGTCACTTACTTGAAGACGAAAAGAACTGCCTGTCTATAAGTCTGCAAACCCTTCTGAACTAATAACTTAAGGGCAGAGCTGAGGGTGTGCAGAAGGCAACAGGCACAGCAGGCTTGGAAGATTTCACATCTTGACTCTTTGTACTTGAATGAGTCTTTCACTGAGGAAACAGCATGCTTTAGAGAAGCAGACAGGGCAGCAGAGAGGACCAGAAAGTTTAAGGACTTGCCCAAGGCTGGTCAACTTGACCTTCACAATACGAGGGATGAGGGAAATCAACCTCTTTATCCAAACGACCAGACCAAGATTCCCTCAGCAAAGCACACTTCTCTTGGAACACTAGGGAGGCACGCTGGTCAAAGGAAGACCAGATGAAAGAATTAAAAAGAAACAAACAGTGCTATTGAAAAGAGAGCGCAATGGGTTGAGTTGATAAAAGAAAGTTTATTGATTTTAGAACAGTTACAGTTTATTTCAGCACCCAAACTCATTTGCAGAGGTACTGATGCACCCATGTGCAAACCTGAGTTGTCCTCACTGGGGGCTTGCCAGGCAGAGGGGAGGGTTTCTCCCCTCTCCTATCTCTTCTGACAATCTTTAAGTTGAGAAGCCACAGAAAGGTGGAATTTATTATTAGTACAAGAGGCTTGCGGCTTTTGGGGGTATTTCAGTGCAGCTGATGGCTGGTCTGTGTTTTGAGAGTTTCTGAATTGAAAGTTCTCTGCCCCATTTCCATCAAGAACCACTAAGTGAACAAGCCAGCTCTTCACTTCTTCACTTGTAAGTACTGCTATTGTTTGTCAACAGTATGTTCTAAGGTGAAGGGCAGTTTGCTTTCAGAAGTCATCAACTAAATTCTCCTGGCAGACAAGCAACAAGACAACAGATGGATGCTGCCGGAAAGTCGTGCTTCCCTCTCACTCCTCCCTCCCACCTGCTGCCAGCGCCTGCTGCTGTTTCTCCACACAGTCTGGTTGGTAGCTCTGCCTTCCTCTGCCTTCATAGCCATGCTACGGTACCTCAGCGGGCTACTATCACGTTCTCCTCTGAGCTTTCTGGTCCAGACCCACTCCACAAAGCTAACCTCAGCGCCCCTGCCAAAGTCATGGTTTTTGTTGTTGTTGTTGTTTTGTTTTTGTTTTTTGTATTTGACATTTTGACCATCTCACTCTGCTCAATCCTTGTGAACTGCAAGGCTGGTATCACAAAACAAATATGAGAAGATGATTGAAAATTGGTCTGCTATTAAGAGCCCAGACTCTGGAGCCAGACTTCTGGGGTTTGAAACTTGTCTAATGCCACTTACTAGCTGCATAATCTTGAGCAGCTTACTTTGTATTTCTGTACCCTTAGTTTCCTTATATGTAGAATAAAATAGTAATAGTATTTACCTCACATGGTTGTTAAGGGACTTAAATATGTGAATATGTGTAAAGTGCCTAGGCATGTCTGACAGATTATGAATGTTACATAAGGTTAAATAAAAGGAATGTAAATGAAATAGCATAAATAGGGTTGCAAATTATTTGGCTGTTCAGATACTGACATGATAAAACAACTCTTGCTCCATAATCAAACTAAATAAATCTAAGATGATCACCTGAATCTCATATATAATAGTCTTTATCTGTAACGATTGATACAAATGTTGCTATTTTAAATCATTTGCCACCAAAACAAATAATTGTTTTACAAGGTCTTTCTCAGGACCATTGAGGCATTTTGAAATAAGCTACCAGCTCCCAAGAAATTCCTTATAAAGGCTACATACCCTCATTTCCTTACAACTTTGTGCATACTTTTCTCTCTACTTTTATTGTTGTTGTAACCCTCCTTTTTCTGTCATGACATCACACATTCCTCCAAGGCTCCAATGACAATCTCTCTGCTATTCCTGGTCCCCCAAGCTGAGAGGGATGATTTCCTTGTTTGCTTCCTACATGACAGTGTGTCCCTGGACCAGAAGTGAAGAGCATGCTTGAGGGATCCACTGTTACTGCCTTTGTGCCTGCCTCCTCACTAGACTGAGGGCAGGGACTGGTTCCATTCATCTTTGTATCTTTTGTGCATATGTAGCTCATGACTTGGTAAAGACAGTTGCTTACCCAACATAGAACTGACTAGTAAAGAGATTTGTTTCATTGAGTTTCTTACTTTTAGGCCAGGAAAGTGGCATTTGGAAAGTAAGGATGACAGACTTCCTTGTCTACCTATGTAAATATCCATTGACAATTATGACACTTATGCATTTGACCCTACTTTACTCTTGGAACAATTAAAATGGTGCTTCCTGTAGTTCTTTATGCTTGCCATGGACTCATTCTGTGATTTTATTTTATTTTATTTTATTTTATTTTATTTTATTTTATTTTATTTTATTTTATTTTTGAGACAGAGTCTTTCTCTGTGACCCAGGTTGGAGTGCAGTGATCCGATCTTGGCTCACTGCAACTTCCACCTCCCCAGTTCAAGCGATTCTCCTGCTTCAGCCTCCTGAGTAGCTGGGATTATAGGCATGTGCCACCACACCTGGCTAATTTTTTATATTTTTTGGTAGAGATGGGGTTTTGCCATGTTGGCCAGGCTGGTCTCGAACTCCTGACCTCAAGTGATCTGCCCACCTCGGCCTTTCAAAGTGCTGGGATTACAGGTGTGAGCCACCACACTCAGCCATGATTTTCTTTTACGTGCTCTTAAAAGTCATAGTTTCGGATGTTAATGTCTTAAGATATTACTATAGTGCTAAATCTTTATAATCCCCATGTGTCCACTCTGCTAGTGCTCATCAATATGTGTATTCTCTTCTTTCTAGAATCACGGGAAAACTGCATCTCCCAGTTTCCCTTCTGTTTAGGTGCATCCAAGTGACTGAGGTTAGCCAATGGCATGTGAGTAGCAATGATGTGTGCCACTTCCAGGCCTGGCTTACTTCTCTTGCATTCTACCCACTGAATGAAGGAGGCTTCCAAGGACCAAAAAGTGGGTGAAGTTCACAATGAAAGGAGCCCAACTCACTGAATGACTGCATGGAGAAGAGTCTCTTCCACTGACCCACATAAGGCTCTGATCAGAGCAAGAGCTAAACTTTTATTAAATTAAGCCACTCATATTTTAAGGCTGTTTATTATAAAAATTAGCACTTTGAGTAATATACCTTAGAACCGAACAGAGTGTCTATCACATTGTAGTTTCCTAGTAAATGACAAATGAACTAGTGACTAATTATTTATCATTGGCTGAATAAGGAATAAAATTCACCGGAAACATCCTGTAGTTTCTTTTGGCTACAATAAAATACAGAGGGGACAAGACAACCCAAATAATGAACATGAATCAAACCAGAGTAAACACTGAGAAGTTTGCTCTTGGATTAGGTAACTGAGAAATGCTATTGTGATAACTCTCAGACTCTTGAGCCACCTGATCAGCCCAGGTCCCCCTTGCCATAGCTGGCCTCCCTTTCCTAACTGCTAGTCTGCCTCATGCATCCAGGAACATTTTACATCTCTAGATTTTAAAACCTAGGCCTTCTGGTCTGCCTGTAACTATTGTCTTTCATATGCCAATGAACTCCAATACATCTGTAATTTAGGAAAATTTTAGATTAAGATTTATATTTTCTGGAATACAGCCAATTTGCCAATTTTAATGAATCAACATTTGAAAATAATCACATTGATTGTATTTATCTAATTGGATTCTGAGACCTATACCCTAAGATCCATAGCATAAAGTTACACTTAGCCATATAGCATAGGGAAGCATGAATTTAGAGTATATAAAATATTCTTGGCCGGGCATGGTGGTTCACACCTGTAATCCCGGCAGTTTGGGAGGTGGAGGTGATCATCTGAGGTCAGGAGTTCAAGACCAGATTGGCCAACATAGTGAAACCATATCTCTACTAAAAATACAAAAATTAGCCAGGCATGGTGGTGGGCACCTGTAACCCCAGCTACTTGGGAGGCTGAAGCAGGAGAATGGCTTGAACCCAGGAGGTGGAGGTTGCAGTGAGCTGAGATTGCACCATTGCACTCCAGCCTGGGTAACAGAGCGAGACTCTGTCTCAAATATATGTATGCATATATATATATATATATATATATATATATATATATATATATATGTGTGTGTGTGTGTATATATATGTGTGTGTATATATATATGTGTGTATATATGTATATATGTGTATATATATGTGTGTATATATGTATATATGTGTGTATATATACATATATACATATATATGTGTGTATATATGTGTATATATACATATATACATATATATGTGTGTATATATGTGTATATATATACATATATATGTGTGTATATGTGTATATATATACATATATACATATATATGTGTGTATATATATACATATATACATATATATGTGTGTATATATGTGTATATATACATATATATGTGTATATATACATATGTGTGTGTGTATATATATGTGTGTGTGTGTGTGTATATATATATATATATATTCTTATGGGATATCTACACTGCATTACCTAAATTCATCAAATTACCTCAATTGTGTACCTCAAAAGCATTTCAGCATTGTCATATCCCCCAGTGTGAGAAATGGGAGTGATGGGATATGAGGCTAGAGAGGATGGAATGACTCGTTCATGAAAGGCATCATCTCTAATGCTATTTTATCTTTAGAACCTCAGGGAGCTATTAAAAGCCTTTAATAAAAGGTATGGCAAGATCTTATTTTTGTTTTGAAATATCACTCTGGCTGCTGTGTGCAGGATGGATCTGAAGTGGCAAGAGTGGACAGGAAGACAAGGCAGTAAGTTTTTCTATAGTAAAGAATGGTGAGGTAAAAAAGGAAGACAGTGTCTGGGGGGACAAATAAAGATACATTGAAAGCATGAGCATGGCCAGATTTTAAACATGATCTGCTCCTTTGCCATCTCATATGTCACATGCTTTGCTAATATCCTGGAGAGAAATAGAATTCTTCAGAAGAGAGCTAATTAGGATAGAATACAGCGGGTCTTGCCTTGAACACCATACTTTCATATACTTGCCTTAAAATGAACTTAGTTTTTGCATTGATCATTTCATACTGTGGGGCCACTTTCTGAACCTGTGATAAGTCAGAATTCTCCCACTTTGTTAATATAAACTGCTCTAAAGCCATATCTCTCCCCTCTAAAATCAGCGCCCATTGAGCTAGATAACAGACTATTGTTTTGCATCATGTACAAGGGCAAATTTTGATAAACAACTACATTATAGAGAAAAAAACAGAATTCAAGTCAGATTCAGAAGATTACTTCATATCTCCTTTCTAAAGTTGCACTTAAAGAACCCCTCATAATAGTATTGTAGCATATTAGAGCAACTTTAGGACAGATAAATCTGTATTTTAATCCTGTCTTCGGTACTTACCACCTAGAACAGGCTAATAAACCTGTCTGAGCTAAGATTTCATCATCTGTTAAATTGTAATAAAGCTATTTATCATAAAGGGTTTTCATTCTTTCCTTCAACAAATATATTGAGTAGCTACTATGTGCTGGTAGCTGGGCTGGGCACTAAGAAAACCATAGTGGCCAAGATATCCTATGGTCTCTATCCACATTAAGCCTCTGTTCTATAGTGTTTGAGCGTTAGAGATAATGCGTATGAAGAACCTAGCATACGGTCTAGAAAATAGACACTGAGGGAAAAATGCCCATCATTTTTAACTAGTTAATGTTAGACTCAAAATTTGTGAGGATCTTCTCAAAATAGATGTGATTGAATTGTCTAAGATACAGGAACAAAACGGGGAAAAAAACAGCCTAAAAAACAGATCAGAAAAATAATTTCATGGAGTTTTTAAATTGTTGTTTAGTTTTGTTTTGCTTGTTTTTTGCTTTTGCTTTTGTTTTTGTTTTGAGACAGGGTCTCGCTTTTGTTTTTGTTTTGAGACAGGGTCTCGCTCAGTCACCCAGGCTGGAGTGCAGTGGCGTTATCTCAACTCACTGTAATCTCCGCCTCCTGGGCTCAAGCAATCCTCCCACCTCAGCTTCCCAGGTAACCGGAACTACAGGTGTGCGCCACCACGCCTGGCTATTTTTTGTATTCTTTGTAGAGATGGGGTTTCACTATGTTGCCCAGGCTTGTCTCAAACTCCTGAACTCGAGGGATCTGCCTGCCTTCTCAGCCTCCCAAAGTGCTGGGATTACAGGCATGAGCCCATCATGCCCTGCCCAATAAAAAAACCAACAACAACAAAAAAATTACATGGCAATGACAGAATTAGAGAAACTCCAAGAACAGAGAAAACAAATAGAAAGAGCCTGAGAGATTTCTGGGATAATTTTCAAGGTAATTGATATAGCATATTCAGAATGTAAGAGAAGGTCATCCTCTCCCAAGAGTCCCCACAGCTACACACACACACACACAGGCACACACGCACGCACACACACGCACACACACACGCACGCACACACACACTCAGACACGCACACACACACACGCAGACACGCACGCACACATGCACACACACGCACACATGCACACACATGCACAGACACGCACGCACGGATGCACAGACACGCACGCACACACGCGCACACACACACACACGGTGACATATAGTTCTGGCATTTGACTCTTTCCTAAAGCCAAAAAGAAATTATCTGCCTGGAAAGAGCCCCTTAAAAGAGTATTGAAATCTGACAGAGAAGCAAAGAAGGGTTTCCAGTACTTACAGACCACCATAGCAAGCATGTGTGTGCAAGTGTGGTTGTGATATGTGTATATGGTTGAAGTAACGTTGTCGAGGAGAAAAATACTTAAAAATCTTCCACCAGCAGGGCCCGGCGCGGTGGCTCATGCCTGTAATCCCAGCACTTTGGGAGGCCGAGGCGGGCGGATCACAAGGGCAGGAGATCGAGACCATCCTGGCTAACACGGTGAAACGCCGTCTCTACTAAAAACACAAAAAATTAGCCACGTGTGGTGGCGGGCGCCTGTAGTCCCAGCTACCCGGGAGGCTGTGGCAGGAGAATGGCATGAACCCGGGAGGCGGAGCTTGCAGTGAGCCAAGATCGTGCCACTGCACTGCAGCCTGGGCGACAGAGCGAGACTCCGTCTCAAAAAAAAAAAAAGATTTCCACCAGCAGCATATAGCTCTACTTACATTAACAATACATTGGAGGGGTTCCCAAGCTCACCCGTCCTGAAGAGAAGCCTCCCAGTTGACACACTCCTCCAACTACTTCCTCAGTTGACACACTCCAGCCACTACCCTAGAGAGCCCATCAGCCACCTTCTACACACTAATAAAAATATATCGATACAAGGAAAACAAAAGGAAGACCTTACAACAAATAAAAGCAAAAATTTAAAAATAGAGAACATTAAAAACATAGACTTGATTAATAAAGCCAAAAGCTAGTTCTTAAAGATTGTGATGAAGTGTACATTTTAAGAGCATTAAGTATGCTCACATTCTTTGCAATCTAACTTCAGAACTTTTTCATCTTTGAGAACTGCAACTCTATACATATTAAACAAGCTCCCATTTGTTTGTTTGTTTATTTTATTTTTGAGATGGAGTCTCGCTCTGTTGCCCAGGCTGGAGTGAAGTGGTGCAATCTCGGTTCACTACAAGCTCCACCTCCCAGGTTCACGCCATTCTCCTGCCTCAGCCTCCCCAGTAGCTGGGACTACAGGCGCCCGCCACCACGCTGGGCTAATTTTTTTGTATTTTTAGTAGAGATGGGGTTTCACCATGTTAGCCAGGATGGTCTCCATCTCCTGACCTCGTGATCCACCTGCCTCGGCCTCCCAAAGTGCTGGGATTACAGGCCTGCGCCACCGCGCCTGGCCAACAAATTCCCATTTTTTAATTCCACTAGCTTTTAGAAACCACCATTCTCCTTTCTCTTTCAATGCATTTAACCACTCGATATCACTGATAAGATGAATCATACATATATGTCATTTTGTGACTGGCTATTTCACTTAGCTTAATGTCCTCAAGGTCCATCTATGTTGTAACATGTGTCAGAATTCCCTTCCTTTTTAAGGCTGAATAATATTTCATTGTATGTACATTCTGTATTTTGTTTTATCCATTCATTTACTGATGAATACTTGGGTTGCTTCCTCCTTTTGCCTAATGTGAAGAATGCTCCTATGAACACGAGTGGATAAATATCTCCTCAAGGCTCTGCTTTCAATTCCTTGGGGTATATTCTAAGAAGTGGAATTTCTAGATTATAGTGTAGTTCTGTTTTCTTTCTTTCTTTTTGAGGAATCATCATAATGTTTTCCATAGTGGCAGCTGTTTTACATTTCCACCAATGGTGCACAACGATTTTAATTCCTTGCCAATGCTTGTTATTTTCTGTTTTGTTTTTGTTTTTGTTTTGCTTTTTGATAGCCATTCTAATGGGTGTGAGGTAATGTCTCATTGTACTTTTTCACTTGAATTTCCCTAATGATTAGTAATGCTGAACAACTTTTCAGGTGCTTATTGGCCATTAGTATATCCTTTGGATAAATTTCTATACAAGTGTGTCTTCATCAGTTTCATGTTGCTATAGAAGAATACCACAGACCGAGTAATTTATAAAGAACAGAAATTTATTTACTCACGGTTCTGAAGGCTGGAATACCTAGATCAAGGGACTGGTAGGTTCAGTTGTCAGGTAAGGACCACATCTCCACTTTCAATATGGTGCCCTGAGCACTGCCCTTCATAAGGAATAAACACTGATCCTCACATGGCAGAAAAGTGGAAGATGGTGCATCAACTCCTAAAAGCCAATTTTATTTCAGCATTGATCCATTCATGAGGGTAAAGCCCTCATTATCTAAACACCTCTCATTATGGCTCACCTCCAACACTGTTATTTTGGTTATTGTATTTCCAAAACACAAGTTTTGGAGGGGACCAAACATTCAAACCATAGGTTTTTAATATATATTAAAAACCTCTTTTTAATTAGGTTATTTGTGTTTTTGATGTTGAGTTTTAAGAGTTCTTTATACATTCTAGATATTTACCCACTATCAGTAATATGATTGGCAAATGTTTTCTCCCATTCCTTAGTTTGCCTATTCACTCTGTTCATTGTGTCCTTTGATGCACAGAAGGTTTACATTTTGATGTAGTCCAATTCATCTATTTTTGTATTTGTTGCTTGTGCAAAAGCCAGTTTTTTAATCAATAATATTGATGAACACTCCTGAAATCTAAATGAAAGGTTAGAGAAAGATTGGAGAATGTGAGAAGACCAAATGAATGTACAGATATACAACAATAGGGATGAGAAAGGGAAATAAGTAGAGATAATCCATAAATTCAATGCAATCCTAATTTTTAAAAAACGAGCGTTTTTGTGGTAGAACTTCACTCAAAAACCTGTTTGAAAAAAAACTAATGAGAATAGAAAGGACATTACATATGACACAATGGTTGTTGGAGAGTTGCCCTATCTATAAAATTATAATAAAAGACAGTACCACTGGCAAAGGAATAGAAAAGTAAATCAGTAGAACAGAAAATAAAGTCTAAAAACAAACACAGATATACAGAAGAATTCGCTGCATAATAAATCAGTGATGAATAAAATACTTATATGGTCATAGGGCAATTATCTTCCTGTTTTTTATACATATATGTATGCATATGCATGGATTTATGTGTGTGATTAGATCCTTTCTTCAGATAATTCAAAAATTAAATTCCATATGAATTAAAGATCAGGATATGAAAAACACCCACTACTAAGCATACTGAAAAAATTTGAAAAATGTTTTCACTGTTTTAAGATGGAACAAACCTTTTTCCACAAGACAAAAAACACTGAAGCCTACAAGAAGTGATCAACAGATTTGAGAATGTAAACACTTATCCATTAACAACAGATGCCATAAAGTAAAATATAAGTGGAAAGCTAAGAGAAAATATGTAAACATAAACTACAGCCAAAGTATTAATATCCAGAATATATACAGAGCTTCTAACAACCTAAATACAAAGGCAATCAATTCAGTAGGAAAACAGGTAAAAGTCATAAGAACATTTCATAAGAGTTATATGGACAATACGTATTTGAAGTTTTACTCAGTATAATTATTAATTAGGAAAATTATAATTAATAACAAGAATAATTTTTTTTGTCCAGCAAATCACCAAATAATTTTTTTTTTTGAGACAGGGTCTCTCTGCTGCCCAGGCTGGAGTGCAGTGTTGAAATCTCAGCTCACTGCAACCTCCTTCTCCTGGGTTCAAGCGATCCTCCCACCTCAGCCCCCCAGGTAGCTGGGACCACAGTCACACACCACCATGCCTGGCTAATTTTTTTGTTTGTTTTTTGTTTTTTGTTTTTTGAGATGGAGTCTCGCTCTGTTGCCCAGGCTGGAGTGCAGTGGTGCAATCTCAGCTCACTGCAACCTCCACCTCCTGGGTTCAAGCAATTCTCCTGCCTCAGCCTCCTGAGTAGCTGGGATTACAGGCACACACCACCATGCCCAACTAATTTTTGCATTTTTTGTAGAGATGGAGTTTTGCCATGTTGCCCAACCTGGTGTCAAACTCCTGGACTCAAGCAATCCGCCCGTCTAGGCCTCCCAAATTGCTGAGATTACAAGTGTGAGCCACCACGCTGGGCCTAAAATAGTTAAATTATAGTAAGATACACTACTGTGAGTGAACATTTAGTCTCGTGTGCTATTTGGAATAAGATAAATAAATGGGTAGTCTCCTTGGAGGGAAATTTTGTAGGGACTACTTAAATTTTATTTTTTGCAACTTTTATTTTAGATTCGAGGGTATATGTGCAGGTTTGTTACAGCACTTTATTGTGTGATGTTGAGATTTAGGGTATAAATGATCCCATCACCCAGGTACTGAGCATGGTACCCAACAGTTTTTCAACTCTTGCGACCTTCCCTCGCTTCCCTCTCTAAGTAGTCCCCAGTGTTTATAGTCATCATTCTTATGTCCATGAGTACCCAGTGTTTAGCTCCCATTCAGAAGTGAGAACAAGTGGAATTTGATTTTCTGTCCCTGCATTAATTCATTTAGGATAATGGCCTCCAGCTACACCCATGTTGTTGCAAAGGACATGATGTTGTTCCTTTTTATGGCTGCATAATATTTAATGGTGTATATATACTACATTTTCTTTATCCAATCCACCATTGATAGGCACCTAGGTTGATTCCACATCCTTGCTATTGTCAATAGCGCTGCAATGACCTTGCCAGTGCATGTGTCTTTTGGGTAGAACTATTTGTTTTATTTTGGATATATAACCAGTAATGGGATTGCTGGGTCAAACAGTAGTTCTGTTTTAAGTTCTTTGAAAAATCTCCCAACTGCTTTCCACAGTGGCTGAATTAATTCATATTTCCACCAACAGCGTATAAGCATTCCTTCTTCTCTGCAGCATTGCCAGCATCTGTTGTTTTCCAACTTTATAATAACAGCCTATCAGATTGGTGTAAATTGGTATCTGAGATGGTATCTCACACCAGTGTTTTTGACTTGTATTGATTTGACGATGAGTGATGTGGAGCATTTTTTTCACATGTTTCTTGGCCAATTGTAGGTGTTCTTTCAATAAATGTCCATTCATGTGTTTTGCCCATGTTTTAATGGGTTGTGTTTTGCTTGTTGTTTAAGTTAATTATAGATTTTTGATATTAGACCTTTATTGGAAGCATAGTTTGCAAATGCTTTCTCCCATTCTGTAGGTTGTCTGTTGATGCTGTTGATAGTTTCTGTTGGTGTGCAAAAACTCTTTAGTTTAATTAGGTTCTAGTTTTCAATTTTTTTTTTTTTTTTTGCAATTGCCTTTCAGGACTTAGTCAAACATTATTTCCCAAGGCCAATGTCCAGAATGGTGTTTCCAAGGTTTTCTTCTAGGATTCCTATAGTTTGGGGGTCTTACATTTAAACCTTTAATCCATCTTAATTTTTGTATATGGCTAAAGGTAGGGGGTCCAGTTTAATTATTCTGCATATGGCTAAGCTAGCTATTACAGAACCATTTATGGAACAGGGAGTCCTTTTTCCATTGCTTATTATAGTTAACTTTGTCGAAGAATAGGTGGCTGTATGTGTGTGGCTTTATTTCCAGGTTCTCCATTCTGTTCCACTGGCGTATGTATCTGTTTTTGTACCACCACCATGCTGTTTTGGTTACTGTAGCCTTATACTATAGTTTGAAGTCAGGTAATGTGATATGTTCAGCTTTATTCTTTTTGTTTAGGATTACTTTGGGTATTCACACTCTTTTTTGGTTTCTGTGATTTTTGGAATAGTTATTTTTGACTCTGTGAAAAATGACGTTGGTAGCTTGATAGAAATAGCATTGAATCTGTGCATTGCTTTCAGAAAAATGGCCATTTTATTATATTGATATATTCTTTCAATTCAAATACATGCATTTTTATTTGATTTTTTTATGTTTAATTTTTTGTGGGTTCATACTCAGTGTAAATATTTTTGGAGTACATGAGACATTTTGATACAGGGATACAATGCTTACTAATTATATCAGTGTAAATGGGGTATCCATCACATCAAACATTTATCTTTGTGTTACAAAAACAATCCAATTATACTCTTTTATTTTAAAATGTGTAATAAATTATTGTTAACTACATCAGCTTGTTATGCTATCAAATACTAGAAGTTATTCATTCTATGTAACTATATTTTTGTACCCATTAACCATACCTAATTCCCCTGTACATTACCCTTCTCAGCTTCTGATAACCATCATTCTACTCTCTGTCTCCTTGAGTTCAATTGTTTTAATTTTTGGCTCCCATTAAAACGTGAGAACTTTCAAAGTTTGTCTTTCTGTGCCTGCCTTATTTCGCTTAGCACAATGACCTCCAATTCCATCCCGGTTGTTGCAAATGACAGGATCACATTCTTCTTATTGCTGAATAGTACTCCATTGTGTATATATACATTTTCTTTATCCATTCATCTGTCGATGGACACTTAGGTTGCTTCCAAATCTTGGCTATTGTGAATAGTGCTACAGAAAACATGGTAGTATAGATATCTCTCCCACGTACTGATTTCCTTTCTTTTGGGTATATACGCAGCAGTGACATTCCTAGGTCATATGGTAGCTCTATTTTTAGTCTTTTGAGAAACCTCCAAACTGTTCTTCATAGTGGTTGTAATCATTTACATTCCCACCAACAGAGTACAAAGGTTCTCTTTCCTCCGAATCCTTGCAGCATTTATTATTGCCTGTCTTATGCCTAAAAGCCATTTTAAACCAGATGAACTGATATCTCATAGTAGTTTCTATTTCCATTTCTCTGTAATCAGTGATGCTGAGCACATTTTCATGTACCTGTTTGTCATCTGTATATCTTCTTTTGAGAAATACCTATACATATATTTTGCACTTTCTCTTTTTTTTTTTTTTTTTTTTGAGATGGAGTCTCACTCTGTCACCAGGCAGTGGTGTGATCTCGGCTCACTGCAACCTCTCCACCCGGGTTCAAGCAATTCTCCTACCTCAGCCTCCCGAGTAGCTGGGACTACAGGTGGGTGCCACGACGCCCAGCTAATTTTTGTATTTTTAGTAGAGACGAGGTTTCACCATATTGACCAGGATGGTCTCTATCTCTTGACCTTGTCATCCTCTCGCCTCGGACTCCCAAAGTGCTGGGATTATAGGCACGAGCCATCATGCCCAGCCTTTTGCACATTTTTAAAATCACATTATTAGATTTTTTTCTATAAAGTTGTTTGAGCTCCTTTTATGCTCTGGTTATGAATTCCCTGTCAGATAGTATATTAGAGTTCTTCAGGGGGACAGAACCAATAGGACATACTTGTTTTATAAAAGGGAGTTTATTAGGGAGAATTGGCTCACACAATTACAGAGCAAAGTCCCGAGATAGACCGTCTGCAATATGGGGAAAGAAAGAAGACAGTAGTTGCTCAGTCCATGTCCAAAATCCTCAAAACCAAGGAAGGCAACATTGCAACATTCAATCTGCATCCAAGGGCTTGAGAGACCCTAAGAAGCTGCTGGTGCAAGTCTCAGAATCCAAGTCTGAAGAACCCGGAGTCTGATGTCCAAGGGCAGGATGAACAGAAGCAAGCACATGTCTGGCAGGGAAAGAAGAAAAAGAGAGCCAGAAGACTCAGCAAGCAAGCTTATGCCACCTTCCTTTGGCCTGCTTTCTTCTAACTGCACTGGCAACTGATTGGATGGCCCCCACTCACATTGAGGTTGGGTCTTCCTCTCCCAGTCCACCAACTCAAATATTAATCTCCTCTGGCAACACCCTCACAGACACACCCACATAGAACACTTTACTGCCCATCTAGGCATTCCTCAATCCAATCAAGTTGACATCTAATATTAATTATCACCGATGAGTAGTTTGAAAATATTTTCTCCCATTGTGTAGATTGTCTCTTCACCTGGGTGATTACATCCTTTGCTGTGCAGAAGCGTTTTACCTTTATGTAATCCCATTTGTCCATTTTTGCTTTGATTGTCTGTGCCTGTGGGGTATTACTCAAGAAATCATTGCCCAGCCCAATGTCCTGGAGAGTTTTCTGAATATTTTATTTTAGAATTTTCATAGTTTGATGTCACAAATTTAAGTTTTCAATCCATTATGATTTGCTTTTTGTATATGGCAAGAGATAGGGGCTTAGTGTCATTCTTCTCCATATGAATACCCAGTTTTCCCAACAATATTTACTGAAGAGACAGTCCCTTTCTCAATGTGTGTTCTTGGAACTTTGTTGAAAATGAGTTCTCTGTAGGTGTATGGATTTATTTTGGGGTTATCTATTCTGTTCCATTGATATATATTTCTCTTTTTATACCAGTACCATGACATTTTCGTTAATATAGCCTTGTAGTGTAATTTTAAGCCAGGTAATGTAATTTCTCCAGTTCTATTGTTTTTGCCCAGAATAGCTTTGGCTATTTTGGGTCTTTATTTGCTCTATGTAAATTTTAAGATAGTTTTTTAATTCTTTTTTCGTGAAGAATGGCATTGGTGTTTTGATAGGGTTTGCATTGAATCTGTAGATTGCTTTGAAGAATGACATTGGTGTTTTGATAGGGTTTGCATTGAATCTGTAGATTGCTTTGGGTACTATGGACATTTTAGCAATATGATTTCTTCAAATCCACAAATATAAAATACCTTTTGATTTTGGGGGTACTCTTCCATTTTTTCCTCAATGTTTTATAGCTTTCCTTGTAGAGACCTTACACATTTTTGGTTAAATAAATTCCTAGGTATTTAATTTTATTTGTAGCAATTGTAAATGGGATTACTTCTTTGATTTTTTTCAGATTGTTTGCTGATGACATATAGAAATGTTACTGATTTTTGTATGTTGATTTTGAATCCTACAACTTTACTGAATTTATCAATTCTAATAGTTTTCTTGTGGAGCCTTGTATTAATCAGTTCTCACACTGCTATAAGGAACTGCCTGAGACTGGGTAATTTATAAAGGAGTGAGGTTTAATTTACTAACAGTTCCACATTTCTAGGGATGCCTCAGGAAACTTACAATCACAGCGGAAGGCAAAGGAGAAGCAGGCACCTTCTTCACAGGGCAGCAGGACAGACTGAGTGCAAGGAGAGGAAATGCCAGATGCGTATAAAACCATCAGATATCATGAAACCCACTCACCATCCGAGAACACCTGGGGGAAACCACCCCCATGATCCGATTACCTCCACCTGGTCCCACCCTTGACAAGTGGGGATTATGGGGATTACAATTCAATGTAAAATTTTGGGTGGGGACACAGCCCCCACCCAATGTAAAATTTTGGGTGGGGACAAATCAAGTCTTTAGGATTTTTCAAATATAAGGCCATATCATCTGCAAACAAGATTTGACTTTTTTCTTTCCAATTTTCATGCTGTTTATTTATTTCTCTTTTCTGATTGCCCTAACAAAGTCTCCCAGTACTACAGTGAATAATAGTGGTGAAAGAGGACATCATTGTCATGTTCCAGATCTTGAAGAAAAGGCTTTTAGTTTTTCCCATTCGGTATGATCCTAGATGTGGGTCTTTCATATACGTCTTTTATTGTGTTGAGATATGTTCTTTCTATAGCCAGGTTTTTGAGAGTTTTTATCATGAAGAGTTGTGCGATATTACTAAATCATTTTTCAGCAACAAACTAAATGATCATACAGTTTTTGTCCTGTCTAGTAACATGGTGTGGGACATTGATTGATTTGCATATGTTACACCATCATTGCATCACTAGGATAAATCCCATTTGGTCATGATGAATGGCCTTTTAATGTGTTGTTGAATTCAGTTGGCTAGAATTTTTTTAATGATTTTTACATCAATATTTGTCAGGAATATTGGGCTGTAGTTTTCTTCCATTGTGTGTCTTTGTCTAGTTTTGGTATCAGAGTAATACTGACCTCATAGAATGAGGTTGGAAGTATTGCCTCCTCATCTACTTGTCAGAATAGTTTGCGTAGGATTGCTACTATTACTTCTTTAAATGTTTCAAAATAGTTTGAGTAGGATTGATATTATTTCTTATTTAAATGTGTGGTAAAATTCAGCAGTGAAGTCATCGGGTCCTGGGCTTTTCTTTGCTGGGAGATTTTTATTACGACTTCAATCTCATCACTTGTTATTGGTCTGCTCTGGTTTTGGATTTCCTCATGGTTCAATCTTAATAGGTTGTGTCTAGGAATTTATCCATTTCTCATAGCTTTTCGAATTTATTAGTATATAGTTACTCAAGGTAGCCTCTAATGATCCTTTGAATTTCTGAAGTATCAGTTGTAATGTCTCCCTTTTCATCTATGATTTTATTTATTTGGGTCTTCTCTTAGTCTCTTAGTTTGGGTCCTTTCTTAGTCTGGCTAAAGGTTTTTCAATTTTGCTTATCTTTTCAAATAACCAACTTTTTGTTTTGTTGATCTTTTGTATGGAATTTTAATTTTAATTTTATTTATTTTTGCTCAGATATTAATTCTTTGCATCTATTAATTTTGGATTTAGTTTGCTTTTGTGTTTCTAATTCTTTAGGATGCAACATTAGATTATTCGTTTGATTTTTTTAAAACTGTTTTGATGTAGTTGCTTATTGCTACAAACTTTCCCATTAATATTGCTTTCACTATATCCCCTAAGTTTCTGTACGTTTTGTTTCCATTTTCATTTGTTTCAAGAAACTTTTCAATTTTGTTCTTTTTTTTTTTTTTTTTTTGAGACGGAGTCTCGCTCTGTCGCCCAGGCTGGAGTGCAGTGGCGGGATCTCGGCTCACTGCAAGCTCCGCCTCCCGGGTTCACGCCATTCTCCCACCTCAGCCTCCCAAGTAGCTGGGACTACAGGCGCCCGCCACTACGCCCGGCTAATTTTTTGTATTTTTAGTAGAGACGGGGTTTCACCGTTTTCGCCGGGATGGTCTCGATCTCCTGACCTCGTGATCCGCCCGCCTCGGCCTCCCAAAGTGCTGGGATTACAGGCGTGAGCCACCGCGCCCGGCCCAATTTTGTTCTTAATTTCTTCATTGACTCACTGGTCACTCAGGAGCATATTGTTTAATTTCCTTGTGTTCATATTGTTTCCAAAATTCCTGTTGTTATTGATTTCTAGTTTTATTCCATTGTAGTAAGAGAAGATATTTGAAATGATAACAATTTCTTTTTCTAATTTTTTAACATTTATCTTGTGGTGTAATATATGGTCTATCTTTGAGAATGATCCATTTGCTGAGAAGAAGATTGCGTATTCTCTAGCTCTTGAATGAAATGTCCTGTAAATGTCTAAAAGGTCCACTTGGCCTATAGTGTAGATTAAGTCTGATATGTCTGTTTATTTTCTGTGTGGATGAACTGTCTAATGCTAAAATTGGAGTGTGGAAGTCTGCAGCTATTATTTTATTGAGGCTTATCTCTCTCTTTAGCGCTCATAATATTCGTTTTATTTATCTGGGTGCTCCAGTGTTGGGTGCATATATATTTCCAGTTGTAATAACCTTTTGCTGAATTCACACATTATTATAGCATGACCTTCTTTGTGCCTTTTTAAAGTTTTTTTTCATAAAATCTGTTTTTACTGATGTAAGTATAGCTATTCCTAACTTGGTTTGGTATCCATTTGCACGGAATACTTTTTTCCTTCCTTTTGTTTTTAGTCTACATGTATACTTATAGGAGAAACCTTTTTCTTGTCAGAAACAGATTGTCAGGTCTTTTCTTTTTTATCCATTCAGCCACTCTACTTCTTTTGATTAGAGAGCTTAGTCTAGTTACATTCAATGTTATTATTGATAGTAAGGACTTACTCCTGCCATTTTTTTTATTAGTTTTCTGGTGCTTTTTGGTCTCTTTATTTTTTTCTTTCCTTTCTTCCTTTCTTTTTATAAAGTTGACTTTTTTCAGGTGATATGTTTCAATTTGTTACTTTTTATGTTTTGCGTATCTGTTGTAGGTTTTTCAATTTGAGGTTACCATGATACAAATAACATCTTATAACCCATTATATTAAACTGATGAAATCCTAACACTGATGGCAAAAACAAACTAAATAACAAACAATCAAAGAGAAAACTGTTACGAACTCTACACTTGAACTTTATCCCACCACTGTTTATCATTTTGTTGTTTCTGTTTATAATTTATTATACTGTCTGTATCTTGAAAATTTGTTGTAGCAATTATTTTAGATAGGTTAATGATCCATCTTTCTACTCAAGGTATGAGTAGTTTAGGTACTACAATTACCGTGTTATAATAGTCTGTTTTTCTGTTTACTTACTATTACCTGTGAGTTTTGTACCTTCAGGTGATTTCTTATTGTTTGTTAACATATTTTTCTTTGAGATTGAAGTACTCCCTTTTGCATTTCTTGTAGGACAGGTCTGGTGGTGATGAAGTCCCTCAGCTTTTGTTTGTCTGAGAAAGCATTTCTTTCTCCTTCATGTTTGAAGGATATTTTCACTAGATTTACTGTTCTGGGATAAAAAAAATCTTTTCCTTTGGCACTTTAAATATTTCATGCCACTCTCTCCTGACTTGTAAAGATTCCACTGATAAGTCCGCTGCCAGAGGTACTGAATCTCAATTGTGTATTACTTGTCTCTTTTCTCTTGCTGCTTTTAGAATCTTTTCTTTATCCTTGATCTTTGGGATGTAATGATAAATGTTTCGAGGCAGTTTTATTTGGGTCGAATCTGCTTGGTGTTCTATAACTTTCTTGTACTGGAATATCGATATATTTCTATAGGTTTGGAAAGTACTCTGTTATTATCCCTTTAAATAAAGTTTCTGCCCCTTTTTTGTCTCTACCACCTCCAAGGCCAATAACTCTTAGATTTGCCTTTTTGAGACTATTTTTTAGATTTTTGTAGGCATGCTTTATTCTTTTTTATTTTCTCTCCTCTGACTGTGTATTTTCAAATAGCCTGTCTTCAAGCTCACTAAATTCTTTCTTCTGCTTGATCAAGTCTGCTGTTAAGAGACTCAGATGCATTGTTCAGTATGTCATTTGCACTTTTCAAATCCAGAATTTCTGCTTGATTCTTTTCAATTATTTCAATCTCTTTGTTGAATGCATCTGATAGAATTCTGAATTCCTTCTCTATGTTATCTTCAATTTATTTGAGTTTCCTCAAGACCACTATTTTGAATTCCCTGTCTGAAAGGTCACATATCTGTGTATCTCCAGGATTGGTCCCTGGTGCCTTATTTAGTTGTTTGTTTGGTTTTTTTGTAAGATCATGTTTTCCTGTATGGTCTTGATTCTTGTGGATGTTGATCAATGTCTGTGCATTGAAGAGTTACATATTTATTGTAGTCTTTGCAGTCGGCTTGTGTGTACATGTCCTTCTTGTGAAGGCTTTTGAGGTATTTCAAGAAACTTGGGTGTTGTGATCTAAGTTTTTGGTCAATGCGACCATATCTTCATTAGAGGACACCCCAAGCCCAAAAGCAGTGAGGATCTTGTACACTCATAGAGGTACCACCTCGGTGGTCTTAGATAAGGTCCATAAGAATTCTCTGGATTACCAGGCAGAGACTCTTGTTTTCTTCCCTTACTATCCCCCAAACAGAGTCTCTCTCTCTGCTGAGTTCCCTAGAGTTTGGCGGAGGAGTGACTGAAGCAGGCCTGTGGCCACCATCACTGTGACTTTGCTGGGTCAGACCTGAAGCCAGTACAGCACTTGGTCCTACCCAAGGCCTATGGTAACTACTGCATGGCTACTGCTTGTGTTTGCTGAAGGCCTTATGGCTATATAATCTGCAGGCAGCAAAGCCAGCCAGACTTGTGCCCTTCCCTTTGGGTGACAAGTCTCCCCTGGCCCTGACTGGGTCCAAAGTTGCTGTCTGGGAGTCAAAGCTTGGAGATAGAAACCTTAGGTATCCACCTGGTACTCTATTCTACTGTGGCTGAACTGCCACCCAAACCACAAGACAAAGCCTTTTCCTCTCTTCCTCTCTTTCCACGAGCAGAGGAGTCTCTCCCCATGGCCACAACCATGGGGATGTACTGCCTGGCTACCGCTGATGTCCGCTTAATTCCCAAGGGCTCTTTAGTAAGCTTGTGGTGAATGCTGGCAGGCCTTGGACTCTCACTTCAGGGAAGTGTGCTCACCTCTGCCCCAGTGAAGGTCCAGAAATGCCTTCTAAGAGCCATAGGCCTGGAACTGGTGACCCCAAGAACCCACTTGGTGCTCTGCCCTACTATGGCGAAGCTGATGCCTAAGCTGCAAGACAAAGTCCTCTTTACTCTTTATTTTCCTTTTCTCAAGCATAAGGTGTCTCTCTTCTGTAGCCACCACAACAGGGAATGTGCTTACTCACATCTGAAGCGAGCATGTCTTCTAGTCTCATCTGAGGCCCACAGTAAGTACTGCCTGGCTACCAAAGGTCACTATTCAGGGCTGAAGGGCTCTTTAATCAGCAGGTGATGAGTCCTGCCAGTACTGGGTTCTTCCCTTCAATGCAGTGGGTTCCCATCTGGCTCAGAGTATATCTAGAAATGTCAATCAAAAGCTAGGGCTCAGGACTCTGCCTGGTGCCCTACCCTACTATGGCTGAGCTGACATACAAGGTGCAAGACAAAGTCCTCTAGTCTTCCCTCCCTTCTCCACAAGCAAGAGGAAGGGGACTCTCACCTCAGCAGAGTTATGCTGCTTGGAGTTCAGGGAGGGGTGGAGAAGCACTCCTTTGGCTGCCCCAGCTGATGTCTCACTAGGTTGAATGCACCCCACTTCCACTGGTTTTGAGCCCAGCACAGCTCCATGACTTACCCAGGAATTACAATCCTGTGACCTAGACTGAAGTTCAGGTTTATTTAGAACCACAGAGCACTTTAGTTCACAGGTTCTGACTGCTGGGATGAGTGATTCCTATCTGGCTAGGGTTGGTCTAAATGCTCCCTTCATGAGCACCAGCTGAGTTCTGCCTGGTGTTGCTTTCACCGTGATGGGGAAAGCAGAGAGTTTCAATGCAAAGTCACACAATCACTGTGCTCTCCATCTCCCAAATGCACAGATTCTCTCTTCATGTTATGTGGCTGCTGCCTCAGGACGGGAGAAGGGTGGATTCGGTAACTCAAGACCGTCTTTCCTATCCTCTCCAGTGCCTCTTTCCTTGCTATGATGTGAAAGCCATGTACTGTGATAATTCACCTAATTTTCTGGTTTTTAAGAAGGGCGCTTTTGAGTGTGAATAGTTGTTCAGTTTGGTGGTCCTCTGTGGAGGATGATTGGTGGACGCTTCTATTTGGCCATTTTGCTCTGCCCCTTCTCTCAATTGACATGAGTTGTAAATGCACAGATTCTTCAAACACACGGTTTGGTTTCTGAGTATTTATCCTTATGTGAACAATGAGGCACAGACAAAAATGTGCACCATATCATTGTTGAAAGAGAACTTAAATGCGTATTAATTGGATAGTGGGCAAATAAGTTGCAGTAACAACCATACTATACATTAAAATGATATATTTAAAGAGGATGATGTATACACTGACATAGAACAATGTCTAATATACAACATTTAGTGAAAATAAGAGAGTGTTTGAATAATACACACTGCAAAGTCCAATTTATATAAAAAGGTATATTTGTACAAAACAGGGCTAGAAAGATATCCGTAAAATTGTTCACAGTGGTTGTTTCTGGGAAAGGAAGGCAAAATTAAAGGCAAAGTTTCCATTTTGTCCTATAGTCTGCATTATTTGAAATTATTTTTATGACAAGATGGTATCTACACATTGCTTTCATAAAAACAAATTAAAATACATGTATTTTCTTTCCAAATTTCTTCTCTTGAATAAAGTATATTAAATCATATTTTCATAAGCTTTATATCTCTTATTTCTTTTTAATATGATAAGTATAAATACCCATTTAAAAATTCCAGCAGCCTAAGTTATTCTAAATTCAACTTTCTAATTTTAATGAATGTATTCTGCTTAATTGGAGAGCTACAAAAGAAAAAAAAACTTGCGTAACTGAGCAATTTCATTTGTTTCCTTGAGCCAAAAAAAAATCATTTGACATGTTTTCAACAGTCATGTATGGTCAGTGACTTACTGATGCATCTGAGTCCTGTAGTTCAGCATGCTGGTTGATAGCCAAATGACACTGGCACATAATTCACTTGTTTCTTTCATTTCTGAGTCATTGTGTCCACTAAACTTTCACTATGAGTCACAATCGAATTAGTCTTTCACAAAAATACAGCTATATACTAGATTATCTGGGTGCGCCTGATTCAACCTGTCAAAAGGCCTAAAGAACAGAGCTGAGGCTTCACAGAGGAAGAAATCTCCATGGTGGGCAGCAGCTTTAGCCCAGGTGTAAGAGTTCTAGCCTTCTTTTTCTGGCAAACTGCATCTATGGATTTTGGACTTGACTAGCCAGTCCCACAACTGTGCAGTTAGTTCCAGCCAATAAATCTCTTACTATAAAAAAATAGGCTCTTAGCGAATATAAACAACAGTCAGCTTTTAACACTTAAGCAGAACACGCAAGTAATACTTCAAAGCAGTTTTCATTATTGAACAATTTATTGTTTTTTGCATCTCATGTAAATAGAATAAGGAAGCAAATATTCCATATTTGTTATTATGCACAAGAAATATTTGACAAAAGCTCGGACTGAAATCACGGATGTCTTCTTGTATTTTGTCAGAGTAATATCTCTCAAGGCATGTAATGCAGTAGAATGAGTCTCAGTGAGACTTGAAAATCTTAGGATTTAGTGACAGCTTTTGCATTTTCTTGCTTTGTGACACTGAAAGAAGCACATAACCTCTATGAAGTTCATTGTCCTTATTTGTAAGAGATAGATAATTATACCCAACCTCTATGAACCTCATTGTGCATATATGTAAAACACAAACAATGTCTGTCCTTTTCCCCTCACAAGATTGTTAGAAGATTCACATGCAATAGTGGAGGGCGAATTCTCTCAACTGCAAAGCACTATACACACAAGACATATAAATATTAGATGACAATCAGCCAGTTGATGTTGTACCCGTACAATCAACAGCAAGCCAAAATAACGATTTGAGCCCTATGCTTCTCTTGCAAAATTTTTTCTTGTATTATAAATTCAAGTCTAAAGAGTAAAATGCAATAAATACATTTCCGTGGCATAGTCACTGGGGAGACAGAGAGCCCTATAGGAAGGTACAGACTCCAATATTATTCTGAATAGTGTGGAGAAATAGCTGTCAGTCCTTTTCACATCTTGTTATCTTTTGGTCAGTGAGGCTCTTTGGTGTTGGAGCTGCTGCCTTAGTCTCCAGGGAGAAGGGCTCAAAGCTTATGGTGCAATGGGAGGTTTGCAGAGAATCTAGCTAGTCATCAGCAACCACTAGCTGCACGATGACTCAGTGCTCTTCTTTAACTAGATAAAACATTATTTTTTAATCCTTTGCCAAAACACATTTTTTAAATGCAGAGACCAGAAAAAAAATAAGTCAGCTTTTAATGTTTTTGCACGTTGCATATTATATTTCTGTCTAAAAGGAGGCTGCATGTTTGGACAGTGAAAAGGATGTGTGGAGTAAACAGCATCAGGTAGGGAAAACCTCAGGCAGTGATAAGATTTGAAAAATTTTTGGCAACCCAAAACAGTTCTCCAGGGCAAAGAGAAAAATTTAGAGGAGTTCCACCTTGGCCAAAATGGCCAGGTCCTTGCACCTCCAGTGTATCCAGTCATCGGCTAATGATTACATAGGAAGCGTGTGGCCCCACCTGGAAAGCTGAGGCATTTCCTCAAGGAGCTAATGGTTGTAGGCTGTCAGTTAGTTGCACTCCCTGCAGCTGAATTGCAGATTTTTTCCGTGGGGACATTCAGGTACACACCTTTATTGCTGCAACAGAGGTGATGGAGTCCAGGTGAGAAAGGTAAGACATAGAAAAGACTTCTGGGGGAGAGGGATAATGAGTATGTCAGGTAAATAAGTAGGATTTCTGGGTAGCGCTAAGGACTCACTTGAATTTAAATGGAAATCTGTCAGCATGATCCTTTGCTTTTCTCAATTTGTGTTCACATACTGCAATAGATAAGTAGGGCTGGATTTACCAGGGTTGGGATTTTGCTATCTGAGAACAACAAAGAGCAATGTCTGTAGAGTCCATTCAGTTCCCAAATTCTACAATTTTTTTGTGTATGAAGGTGACCTGACTTTCACCCCAGTAGCTCCCATATTAATTCCAGAGACTGGCAAACAGGCCATGGGCCTAATCTAGCCTAAATGTTTTTGTCAATAAAGCTTTATTGCTCAGAAATCCCATTACTGGGTATATAACCAAAGGAAAATAAGTCATTTTACAAAATGCCACATGCATGCATGTGTTCATCACAGCACTGTTAACCATAGTAAAGATATGGAATCCACCTTGGTGTCCATCAGTGGAGGATGGATTAAGAAAACGTGGTACATATACATCATGGAACACTACACAGCAATAAAAAGGAATGAAATCATGTCATTTGCAGCAACAAGAAGGCAGCTGGAGGCCATTATCCTAAGTGAATTAATGCAGAAACAGAAGACCAAACACTGCATGTTCTCACTTATAAGTGGGAACTAGATATTGATTATACATGGACACAACGATGGGAACAATAAACACCGGGGACTATTAAAGGGGATAGGGAGGGAGGAGGGCAAGGGTTGAAAAACTATGCTGACTACCTGGGTGATGGGATAAGTCATACCCCAAACGCCAGCATCACACAATATACCCATGTAACAGACCTGCACATATAACCTCTGAATCTAAAAGAAAAGTTGAAATTATAAATTAATTAAATAAATAAATACAGTTTTATTGGAACATGGCCATACCCACTCATTTACATATTGTCTATTGCTTTCTTTTCATGCTACAAAGGCAGAGTTGAGGGTTTGCAACAAAGACTAGAGAGATCAAAAGGCCTAAAATATGGACTATATGGTTCTTTACAAAGTTTGTCTCTGGATTAGGCTAATTTATCTGCCTTCCTCTGTGGATCCCTCACAAAACTGTAGCGTCAAAGATCATAAGTACCTGGTGTAGACGAGGGGTATTCTAGGAAAATGGGCATGCGAGCAGGTTTTACCCCTGCTAGACCCGTCAGCCCTTAGCAAATCATTAACACTAAGGTGTACACAAATATATTTTTGTTGAATTAATCAATGTTAAATATCATCTCATCTTTGCATTAATTCTACAAATATCCAGGCCACTGTTAGTTATAAGGGCTGGAGATACAGCATGTTATCATTTGTACCTGATGTTTTTTCACAAATATGTATTTTTATCTTATTTTCCAAGTGAAAATACCACTGCTTGTCCAACATATATTACCATCTTATCTGTAAGTAATGACCAATGAATAATTTTGTATTAAAATGATACACAAGACAATTTTTTGGATAAGCAGAACCAGAATTCTAAAATTCTGCTGAAATTTTTATAGTATGTCTATTTGACACAGAGCTAGACAAAGTCTATAAACAACTCCTATTTCTAGTTCCAGTCATTGCTGGCATTAGCCATGTTTCCTAGCATCCATTCATCAAGCATTTAATCAGTTAGTCTCTCAGGTGTGAAGTTCGGGAAATGATGCGGCATTCGCAGTACACAGCCCATATCAGGTTGCAAAAAAGAAAGCTGAGGCTGAAGGATCCTGCTCTGTGTACCATTCAGATGAAAGAAGTTGGTTTAGAACATATAGGAAGGTCTGGAGATTGGAGAGGGAAAAAAACTATGACTTGGGGAAATGGAGAAGTCCAGAGGTTGTTGTGGGAAGAGGATAAAAGATAATAAAACATGAAGGACAATGGTGGAATTTGAGAGGAACAGATTGCTCAGAGGACCAGGTAATGGTTACCTAGAGCTGAGGGATAAATTTCCCAAGTACAGGATCAAATATTAGCATGGCAGGTGATCCAAGTGCTCTGAACTCTTGGGCACAGGAGGAGTCTCTGTTTCCTCTACCAGAAGAAAAACAAGAAGATAACATGTTAGTGACGCTGGACAGAGCTAGAATCTTCCTATGGCATATTTGCATTTCATTTGTAATCTGCAGAAATGATAGTTATTGTAGAGTGTCTATTCATTAAAGCTCTTTCTACAACTTTGTGTGCATTGTTGCTATGCAGGACAAAAAGGGTGCTCAGCTGCTGTTATGGAATGAATTGTGCTCACCCTCCCCTCCAAAAAAAACCTCATATGTGATGCCCCAAATCCCAATGTGGCTGTATTTGGAAATAGAATCTTTATGGAGATAGTTTATGTTAAATGAGATCAGAAGACTGGGGTGTTAATACAATAGAACTCATGTCTTTATAAGAAGAAGAAGGGACACTAGAGATTTCTTTCACTCCTCTCTCTTTCTCTTTCTCTTTCTCTCTCTCTCTGTCTCTCTCTCTCTCTCTCGCCTTCTCTGCACCTGCACCAAAGAAGAGGCCATGTGAGAACATCTATAAACCAGGAAGAGAGGCCTTATTAGGAACTGAATCAACCAATGACTCCTTCTGGGAATTCTAGTCTCCAGAAATGAGAGAAAATAAATGTCTGTTGTCTAGGCCACCCCTCTAATATGTGGTGTTTTGTTACGGCAGCCCAAGCAGACTCACATAGATATCCTGTATCTTCTAGATAGGGTTTAATGCCAACTAAAGCCAGACACATACAGAAAAGTAAGGCTACATTCCTGTGGTCAGGGATAACTATGTATTTATGGTTGTCTTTTCATGGATGTCCCTGCATCCAATCCATCCTGTACACTGAAGCTGAAAAGGTGTTTTTCTAAACTGTGTCTCACTCACACATCGTCAATGGCTACCACCTATAGAATAATAAATAGAAGACAAGTCCCATATGCCTTCAGCTGCCATATAAGGTTCTCAATAATTCTGTTCCAACTTGAATTTTTGGGGCTGCCACCCAGCCCTCTTTGAAGCCACACAGCTTCAACTTCAGCTATAGCTCTTGCACTTTCTCAATGTGTCATGCTCTTGTATGCTTGAGTGACTGAGTCATTACCCTGCCTAGAGTGTCTTCTCACACATCAAGCCTCTGAAACTCAAGTACCTGCCACACCCCTCTTCTCCTCCCAGGGCCAACTCAAATGTCACACGCTCTCCGTCAATCTCTCATATCTCAGGTGGAACTAATTCTTCCCTCATTTCTGTCCCTACATTTATTTCACTTTTTAAATACTTGCCACTTTAAATTGCAGTTACATTTTAGAGTGTCCACCCTCCTTCCCAAATAGTGAGCTCTTCAAAGTAGAGAACATGTCTTACTCATCTCAGAGAGAACAATAACAGCCCAATAAAAGAAGCTGAATAACTGTTGAACAAACTTACATTCAAGAAGATCACTGTGAAACAGCAATGAGACCCCTCAGGAATAGCTAAACGAATAACTTGCCAGCACACTGACGCGAGATTCCATTCTCTAGCCAAACTACATAGTTATCACCAAGAGCATTAAACTGGTAGGAAATCACATTTTTATGAAAAGTAAAGTCCAATATTCTTGTAGATGAGGAGGAGGAATAAGACTAAAAAAGAAGTGAGTACCAATACTTGTGAATTTTAAAAAGGCACACTGGCCCAATGGTTTCCTTATTTGTAAAATCAGAGCTGTAGATGAGATGACTTCTAAGTGCCTCCCAAATCCTAAATTCCCTTGTTGCGTGATTTGCCAGATAGGCAAGACAACACTTATGTCTACAGCCATGGAGTCATAATTTTGCAATTATTGTGTGCTGAAGAAATCAGCTCCTCATAATAACCAGAGAGATGGTTAACTGGAAAGAACGTGGTTAAAAATATGCTTTAAAATAAAATGAAAGACCCAGAACAGTACTCAATTATGCAGCTGCCTGCCTGGGCTGCCTCCCTGGACCCAACAAGCCTTCAGATTTAACGACTGGGGTTACCTGGGAGCATTTCCCACATGTTTAAATATCAGTAAGCCTGACAGGCCACTGCTTCTTGAGGCAGAGGGACCAATGCAAAATAAGCATCAGATTTCAAATGCAAAACCAAAGCACTGGTTTTAAAAAAATATAAGCTAAATAGTGTGCCTTTCAGACAGTAGACAAGTCTTATCCAGATAGTTCACCCAATTTAAATAAATCTACTTTGGAACCTCAACTACGCTGTCCAGTTAAACTGCTAATTGCTTAGCTACTTCACATTAATGGTATAGACCCAATTCAGATACATTTTCATGCCAGGGCTATCATCATCTAAGTTGTGTCTGGACAAGTTATTAAGAACAGAATATACAAGTATAAGGTGGGAGGAACCTTAGAGATCATATTCATTTTACAGATGAAAAAACTAAATCTAAAATCTGAAATCTAAAGAGGCTTAGCTGCTTCACCACTGCCTACTGTTTTTTAGTATGTAAATACAATAGCGTGCACAGTGGGTATTTTTGTAGCTATATTCAGGACATGGCAGGCTTCAAAGTTAGACTTATTAATGTAAAAAATAATAAACACTCCCACCACTGAAGACAGACACTTACACTTGTCAGCAACTCCTGGTTGTCCATGGACAGAATTCATGCTCCCTTAATTTAGCACAAAGACCATGTGTGACCTGGGCTCTTCTACCTCCGTGACAGCACTCACTCATCCTCCACTATTTCCTGTTTTTGACACCAACAGAACTCAAAGAGCTTTGTTTGTTTCCTGCAAATGTAATGTCATCATTCACCTTGGTGTCATTCTTTATACTATCACTGCTGTTCGGAATGTCTGTTTTGCTTAACTTTTACTCCTTTTGTATACCCAACCCTTGGATCAATTACTTTAATAAACCTTACTAAAGAGTCATTTTCAGAACCAATCTCTCTGTTTATTTTTTTCTCTTAGTCCTTTATTAGAGTCCAGGTTATAGCCTGCCTTGCAATTAGAAGTCATATTCACATATGTCTCTTCATATTATGTTTGGGAACGCCAAAGACTCCTGGTATGGAGTTTGGCATATAGTATGTGCTCAATAAAGTCTAATTGTTCATGTATGTTTTAACTGAAGACGTGGATGGAAGAGACATCACAAAGAATCTTGCTAACTAGGGGCTCCAGGTAAAAATGCAAAGCAGCCAACATAGGTCTGGATTGCCTTTTGGTTCTACAGTTCTTCATAATTCCCCACCTCCTAGGTAAAGTACCTACCTAATGCTGATACATCAGTCTTCCCCAGATGCATTCTGTGCACTCCAAAAATCACCTCTTCCCTACTGTTACCTCAAATCCAATTCCAAACCCCCATTCTTTCAATGTAGCTGATCTCAGTTGGGCATTGAGGAAGTAAGCAATTAGTTTTAGGTAACTCCTGCAGGGGTATGGGGGCAGGAAAGACCTTTGCTTTATATCCACTGAAAGCTCACAGGAAATATTTTATGGAAAGCAGTGAACAAGATTCAGAGTTGGACTCACTAGCACATTAACTATTGACTTATTTCAATCCTCCTCCCAAATGAACGACTGCTCTTGAATACATTGGATTCAGCCACAAGAGTCTGCATTCTATAAAACTGGCTCTATTCATATACAACCATACACAGCCTGGGCTGTGGTGAACCCACACAATAGTTAATCTAGTGAGTTTCATCTAGATAGTCCCAGTGGGTATGCAAAATAGCTCCCAATGTAATAGATATATATTATATAATATGTATATGTATATATAATATATATAATTATATATGTACACTATATAATATATACATATTATATAACATATACATATACATTATAATATACATTATATATTACATACATATTATATAATATTCATATAACAATATATAATATATAACATAATATACATACTATATAATATGCATATAATATATAATATATATCTATTACATAGTTATATAGTATATATCATCTATATTATATTAATATAATGTATTATATATTAACATTATAATTATACTATATATTGATATATTATATATATAATATGGCAGCTCTGTAATGATCTTGGAGTCAGAAGACCTTTGTTTAAGTTTTGGCTCCACCAAAGAATGTCAGTTTAAATCCTCCAGGAAACAGATACCAAGACAAGGTTAGAAGTACAAAAGATTTATGGAAGTAATCACTCTGATAGATAAAAGGGAAGAGAGAGTATGAGTAGGCAGTAAAAGCTTTCAGAGAACAATATAGATCCGTCACATGCAAAAGGAAGGGTTGGGGATCATAGGCTAGGAAGAGCCTCAGACTATGGTGTATACTTTTAAACATCTCCTCCAGTTCAAGAGAGGACTCTGGAGCACTGGATAGAAATAACCAGCACACAATATGTACCCAGTCGTTGCCTAGAGCTGCCTGAGAACATACCTTGGGCAAAAATGCTGCAATAGGGACCAAAGACATCACAGCTGGAACTTGTCAACTGGCTATAATCTTTCCAGAAGGTTTGCTCTTGAAGAAAAATCTGAACTGCACCCCTCCATGGCTGCCACACAAGGAAATTCCTTTAATCTTGCCACAGTTCTACTTCCTATTATGTAAAGAAGGGAAAAAAGATTTACCAGTTATATTAATCAAATAAACCAACCTGGCTTACTAATTGGTTGATGTTTCTGTGGCAACTAAGAGTTTGTATACACAGCAGATTGTTTTGGAAAAGCATAATTTAGATAAATACTTCACTAAAGGATGACAGAAAATGGTGGTCTTGAGTGTGTTTCCCCGTGTGTACGTACGTGTGTGTGTTTAATCAAATGATAGCTCGCTATATTTTTAAAAGTGCATAATTTCTAAATCACTTTAATATACATTATGCTTTGCTATAGACCTATATATACTGCCTCAAAAATAAGAAAGTAAGACTCAGAGAGGTTAAGTAATTAGTCCAAGTTTGCAGAGCTAGGAAGTGGCTGGACTATATTTCTTTTCTTTTCTTTTTCTTTTCTTTCTTTTTTTGAGACAGTCTCGCTCTGTCACCGGGATGGAGTGCAGTGGCACGTTCTCGGCTCACTGAAACCTCCACCTCCTGGGTTCAAGCAGTTCTCCTGTCTCATCCTCCCGAGTAGCTGGGATTAAAGGCATGCACCAACACACCCAGCTAATTTTTGTATTTTTAGTAGAGATGGGGTTTCACCATGTTGGCCACAATGGTCTCGAACTCCTGATCTCATGATCCACCTGCCGCAGCCTCCCAAAGTGCTGGGATTACAGGCATGAGCCACCGCACCCAGCCAGGACAATATTTCAAATTCAAATCTTTTGATTCCACTTCAGCATTTTTCACATGACTTCACCACATCTCTTAAGAAAAATGGAGCACACTCAATTCCAAGATGGCCGAATAGGAACAGCTCCAGTCTACAGCTCCCAGCATGAGCAACACAGAAGACGGGTGATTTCTGCATTTCCAACTGACGTACCAGGTTCACCTCATTGGGATTGGTTGGAAAGTGGGTGCAGCCCATGGAGTGTGAGCTGAAACACGACAGGGCATCACCTCACCCGGGAAGTGCAAGGGGTCAGGGAATTCCCTTTCCTAGCCAAGGGAAGCCATGACAGACGGTGCCTGGAAAATTGGGACACTCTTGCCCTAATACTGCACTTTTCCAACAGTCTTAACAAACAGCACACCAGGACATTATATACCACACCTGACTCGGTGGGTCCCACACCCATGGAGCCTCACTCACTGCTAGCACAGCAGTCTGAGATCGAACTGCGAGGTGGCAGTGAGGCTGGGGGAGGGGCGTCTGCCATTGCTGAGGCTTGATTAGGTAAACAAAGCAGCCAGGAAGCTCGAACTGGGTGAAGCCCACCGCTGCTCAACGAGGCCTGCCTGCCTCTGTAGACTCCACCTCTGGGGGCAGGGCATAGCTGAACAAAAGGCAGCAGAAACTTATGCAGACTTCAGCATCCCTGTCTGACAGCTTTGAAGAGAGCAGTGGTTCTTCCAGCACAGAGTCTGAGATCTGAGAACAGACAGATTGCCTCCTCAAGTGGGTCCTTGACCCCCGTGTAGACTAACTGGGAGATACCTCCCAGTAGGGGCTGACTGACACCTCATACAGCCAGGTGCCCCTCTGAGACGAAGCTTCCAGAGGAAGGATCAGGTAGCAACATTTGCCGTTCTGTGATATTTGCTGTTCTGCAGCCTCCACTGGTGATACCGAGGCAGACAGGGTCTGGAGTGGACCTCCAGCAAACTCCAACAGACCTGCAGCTGAGAGTCCTGACCGTTAGAAGGAAAACCAACAAACAGAAAGGAATAGCAGCAACATCAACAAAAAGGACATCCACACCAAAACCCCATCTGTAGGTCACCATCATCAAAGACCAAAGCTAGATAAAACCACAAAGATGGGGAGAAACAAGAACAGAAAAGCCGAAAATTCTAAAAACCAGAGCGTATCTTCTCCTTCAAAGGATCACAGCTCCTCACCAGCAAGGGAACAAAGCTGGATGGAGAATGACTTTGACAAGTTGACAGAAGTAGGCTTCAGAAGATCAGTAATAACAAACTTCTCTGAGCTAAAGGAGGATGTTTGAACCTACCACAAGGAAGCTAAAAATCTTGAAAAAAGATTAGACGAATGGCTAACTAGAATAAACAGCACAGAGAAGACCTTAAATGACCTGATGGAGTTGAAAACCATGGCATGAGAACTAGGTGATGCATGCACAAGCTTCAGTAGCCAATTCGATCAAGTGGAAGAAAGGGTATCAGTGATTGAAGATCAAATGAATGAAATGAAACAAGAAGAGAAGTTTAGAGAAAAAAGAGTAAAAAGAAACGAACAAAGCCTCCAAGAAATATGGGACTATGTGAAAAGACCAAATCTACGTCTGATTGGTGTACCTGAAAGTGACGGGGAGAATGGAACCAAGTTGGAAAACACTCTGCAGGATATTATCCAGGAGAACTTCCCCAACCTAGCAAGGCAGGTCAACATTCAAATTCAGGAAATAGAGAGAATGCCACAAGACACTCCTTGAGAAGAGCAACCCCAAGACCCATAATTGTCAGATTCACCAAGTTTGAAATGAAGGAAAAAATGTTAAGGGCAGCCAGTGAGAAAGGTCGGGTTACCCACAAAGGGAAGCCCATCAGACTAACAGCGGATCTTTCAGCAGAAACTACAAGCCAGAAGAGAGTGGGGGCCAATATTCAACATTCTTAAAGAAAAGAATTTTCAACCCAGAATTTCATATCCAGCCAAATAAGCTTCATAAGTGAAGGAGAAATAAAATCCTTTACAGACAAGCAAATGCTGAGAGATTTTGTCACCACCAGACCTGCCTTATAAGAGCTCCTGAAGGAAGCACTAAACATGGAAAGGAACGACCGGTACCAGCCACTGCAAAAACACGCCAAACTGTAAAGACCTTCGAGGCTAGGAAGAAACTGCATCAACTAACGAGCAAAATAACCAGCTAACATCATAATGACAGGATCAAATTCACACATAACAATATTAACCTTAAATGTAAATGGACTAAATCCCCCAATTAAAAGACACAGACTGGCAAATTGGATAAAGAGTCAAGACCCATCAGTGTGCTGTATTCAGGAGACCCATCTCACATGCAGAGATACACATAGGCTCAAAATAAAGGGATGGAGGAAGATCTACCAGGAAAATGGAAAATGAAAAAAAGCATGGGCTGCAATCCTAGTCTCTGATAAAACATACTTTAAACCAACAAACATCAAAAGAGACAAAGAAGGCCATTACATAACGGTAAAGGGATCAATTCAACAAGAAGAGCTCACTATCCTAAATATATACGCACCCAATACAGGAGCACCCAGATTCATAAAGCATGTCCTTAGAGACCTACAAAGAAACTTAGACTCCCACACAATAACAATGGGAGACTTCAACACCCCACTGTCAACATTAGACAGATCAACGAGACAGAAAGTTAACAAGGATATCCCGGAATTGAACTCAGCTCTGCACTAAGTGGACCTAATAGACATCTACAGAACTCTCCACCCCAAATCAACAGAATATACATTCTTCTCAGCACCACATCACACTTATTCCAAAATTGACCACATAGTTGGAAGTAAAGCACTCCTCAGCACATGTAAAAAACAGAAATCATAACAAACTGTCTCTCAGACCACAGTGCAATCAAACTAGAACTCAGGATTAAGAAACTACCTCAGAACTGCACAACTACGTGGAAACTGAACAACCTGCTCCTTAATGACTACTGGGTAAATAACGAAATGAAGAATAAAGATGTTCTTTGAAACCAATGAGAACAAAGACACAACATAGAAGAATCTCTGGGACACATTTAAAGCAATGTGTAAAGGGAAATTTATAGCACTAAATGCCTACCAGAGAAAGCAGGAAAGATCTAAAATTGACACCCTAACATCACAATTAAAAGAACTAGAGAAGCAAGGGCAAACACATTCAAAAGCTAGCAGAAGGCAAGAAATAACTAAGATCAGAGCAGAACTGAAGGAGATAGAGTCACAAAAAAACCCTTCAAAAAATCAGTGAATCCAGGAGCTGGTTTTTTTAAAAGATCAACAAAATAGACCGCTAGAAAGACTAATAAAGAAGAAAAGAGAGAATAATCAAATAGACGTAATAAAAAAATGATAAGGGAGATATCACCACCAATCCCACAGAAAAACAAAATACCATCAAAGGATACTATAAACACCTCTATGCAAATAAAAACTAGAAAATCTAGAAGAAATGGGTAAATTCCTGGACACATACACCCTCCCAAGACTAAACCAGGAAGAAGTTGAATCTCTGAATAGACCAAAAACAGGCTCTGAAATTGAGGCAATAATTAATAGCCTACCAACGAAAAAAAGTCCAGGACCAGACGGATTTACAGCCTAATTCTACCAGAGTTACAAAGAGGAGCTGGTACCATTCCTTCTGAAACTATTCCAATCAATAGAAAAAGAGGGAATCCTCCCTAACTCATTTTATGAGGCCAGCATCATCCTGATAACAAAGCCTGGCAGAGACACAACAAAAAAAGAGAATTTTAGACCAATATCCCTGATGAACATCGATGCAAAAATCCTCAATAAAATACTGGCAAACTGAATCCAGCAGCACATCAAAAAGCTTATCCACCATGATCAAGTTGGCTTCATCCCCGGGAAGCAAGGCTGATTCAACAGACACAAATCAATAAGGGTAATCCACCATATAAACAGAACCAAAGACAAAAACCACATGATTATCTCAATAGATGCAGAAAAGGCCTTCAACAAAATTCAACAGCCCTTCATGCTAAAAACTCTCAATAAACTAGGTATTGATGGGATGTATCTCAAAATAATAAGACAAACCCAGAGCCAATATCATACTGAATAGGCAAAAACAGGAAGCATTCACTTTGAAAACCAGCACAAGACAGGGATGCCCTCTGTCACCACTCCTATTCAACATAGTGTTGGAAGACCTGGCCAGGGCAATCAGGCAAGAGAAAGAAATAAGGGGTATTCAATTATGAAAAGAAGAAGTCAAATTGTCCCTGTTTGCAGATGACATGATTGTATATTTAGAAAATTCCATCGTCTCAGCCCAAAATCTCCTTAAGCTGATAAGCAACTTCAGCAAAGTCTCAGGATACAAAAGCAATGTGCAAAAATCACAAGCATTCCTATACACCAATAACAGGTAGAGAGCCAAATCATGAGTGAACTCCCATTCATAGTTATTTCAAAGAGAATATAATACCTAGAAATCCAACTTACAAGGGATGTGAAGGACCTCTTCAAGGAGAACTACAAACCACTGCTCAATGAAATAAAAGAGGACACAAACAAATGGAAGAACATTCCATGATCATGAATAGGAAAAATCAATATCGTGAAAATGGCCATATGGCCCAAGGTAATTTATACATTCAATGCCATCTCCATCAAGCTACCAATGACTTTCTTCACAGAATTGGAAAAAAACTACTTTAAGTTCATATGGAACCAAAAACTTTAAAGTTCATATGGAACCAAAAAAGAGCCCGAATTGCCAAGACAATCCTAAGCCAAAAGAACAAAGCTGGAGGCATCACGCTACCTGACTTCAAACTATACTACAAGGCTAAAGTAACCAAAACAGCATGATACTGCTATCAAAACAGAGATATAGACCAATGGAACAGAACAGAGCCCTCAGAAATAATACCACACATCTACAACCATCTGATCTTTGACAAACCTGACAAAAACAAGAAACAGGGAAAGGATTCCCTATTTAATAAATGGTGCTGGGAAAACTGGCTAGCCATATGTAGAAAGCTGAAACTGGATCCCTCCCTCACACCTTATACAAAATTTAATTCAAGATGGATTAAAGACTTAAATGTTAGACCTAAAACCATAAAAACCCTAGAAGAAAACCTAGGCAATACCACTCAGGACATAGGCATGGGCAAGGACTTCATGACTAAAACACCAAAAGCAATGGCAACAAAAGCCAAAATTGACATGTGGGATCTAATTAAACTAAAGAGCTTCCGCACGGCAAAAGAATCTACCATCAGAGTGAACAGGCAACCTACAGAATGAGAGAAAAGTTTTACAATCTACCCATCTGACAAAGGGCTTATATCCAAGATCTACAAAGAACTTAAACAAATTTACAAGATAAAGATCAACCAACCCCATCAAAAAGTGGGCAAAGGATATGAACAGACACTTCTCAAAGAAGACGTGTATGCAGCCAACAGACACATGAAAAAATGCACATCATCACTGGCTATCAGAGAAATGCAAATCAAAGCCACAATAAGATGCCATCTTACACCAGTTAGAATGGCGATCATTAAAAAGTCAGGAAACAACAGGTGCTGGAGAGGATGTAGAGAATTAGGAACACTTTTACACTGTTGGTGGAAGTGTAAACTAGTTCAACCACTGTGGAAGACAGTGTGACGATTCCTCAAGGATCTAGAACTGGAAATACCATTTGACCCAGCCATCCCATTACTGGGTATATACCAAAAAGATTATAAATCATGCTGCTGCTGCTATAAAGACACATGCACACGTATGTTTATTGTGGCACTATTCACAATAGCAAAGACTTGGAACCAACCCAAATGTCCATCAATGATAGACTGGATTAAGAAAATGTGGCACATATACACCATGGAATACTATGCAGCCATAAAAAAGGATGAGTTCATGTCCTTTGTAGGGACACGGATGAAGCTGGAAACCATCATTCTGAGCAAACTATCACAAGGACAGAAAACTAACCACCACATGTTCTCACTTATAGGTGGGAATTGAACAATGACAACACTTGGACACAGGGTGGGGAACTTCACACACCGGGGCCTGTTGTGGGATGGGGGTTTGGGGGAGGGATAGCATTAGGAGAAATACCTATTGTAAATGACGAGTTAATGGGTGAAGCACACCAACATGGCACATGTATACATATGTAACAAACCTGCACGTTGTGCACATGTACCCTAGAATTTAAAGTATAATAAAAAAAAAAAGAAAGAAAGAAAAATAGAGCTAGTGGCAGAATGAGGCAACAATCCATATGAAAACTGACCTGGGATTTGTAGTGAACTTTTCAGACATTTTCAGATACACAAGTCAAGAACACTGTAGTCTGAGCTTTCATTCTATTTTAAAGTCCTATTACATAGCACTTCATTCGCTGAAAAGGTAGATGTCAGCCAATGTGACTTTTCAAACTGTACTAAGGAGTCCAAAGGATTCTTGGACCTGGCATCCAAGGAGTCAGTAATAGAACTTTTTGAAACAGCCTTATTGAGATATAAATCCATACCATACAATTCTCCTATATAAGGTATACAATTCAGTGGTCATTAAGTTGTGTGCCCATCACCACAATCAATTTGATGATATTTGCATCATTTCCAAAATAAATCCATCAGCAGTTCCTTTCCATTCCCCTCCCTAATCTTTTGTTATGGGCTTTGTTATTTAGTGTAACGTTTTCAATATTAATACATATTGCAGGAAGTACTTTCTGTTGTAGCAGTATTTCAGTCCTTATTATGGCCAAATGATATTCTACTGTATTGCTATGCCATATTTTGTTTATTTCATTAATTAGTAGCTTCACATTTGGGTTGCTTCCACTTTTTGACTACTGTAAACAATGAGGCTATGAACATTCATGTTCACATGTTTGTGTAAACATGTGTTTAAAATTCTCTTGAGTATATATGTAGAAGTGGCATTTCTGGGTCACAAAATTTTATATTTAAATTTAGAGGAACAGTAATACACTTAAAAGCTATAAGGTATCTGGAAATGACAGTTTCAGAAAGACCAGCTTCTCCTCTGCACTAGAGCAGGGAACAAATTCACATCATGAGTCTGGCAGAAGTTACCGAGATCTTTTAGGTCTGGTTTGATGGCTTCAGGTTTCCCCAATTCTGGGGATATGACATGCTACCAATTCTAAAGGATTTGTCCCATAGCAAGGTCTATGAGCTCTGTCTCCTGACATACGTTGTGGAAGGAAAGAGAAGATTGCTGACATGCCTTGCAGGAGAGTCACCTGACACAAAGTCCAAGGATAAATGAATGGCAGGTGAGGATTTAGGACTCAGAACCCTCCAAGAAGGGGAAGAAAAATATCCCCTTCATTTGTATACGTAGAGGGAACACACCAGAAAATCTAGTCAGATGAGTTAATCTAATGTTTCTTGCTCAACTAAATTTCAAATAAAAGGAACCACATTGGCTACCTGATAGACTATGGGGAAATACATTTTTAGTATGTTTGCTTTAATCAACTGAGAAGGCATAATAAAACACATTGAAATTACGCTTTTATTTAGCCTTACATGCTTACCTGCTTCATCTAAAGTTATTTTAAAAATGTAATTGGCTACAGCCACTGAAATGGTAACATATACTTTCATCATGAGAGATATCTTGGTGTGTATATAGTGGGCCTATAGTAACACACCTGCCATAAACAGAGAAAATTTGGAATGAAAGAAAGAGCAATTCAAGTGACATTTATTGAATACCTCCTGAGCACCTGGCACCATGGTAGATGTTTGGATATTTTCTCTCATTTAGTCTACCCAATAATTCTGGGTGGTAAGGATAATTATCCCCATTTTACAGATAAAAACCTGAGACTCAGAAATGTCAAATAACTTGTTTCGGGTCACAGAAGTACTGGATGGCAGAAGTAGATTTCTAACTATGGTCTTCTGATTCCCAAATCTGGTGAGAGCTGAAGAAAGGAGTATTCAAGATGTGTATTAGAAACAACTTGCCATTCCTTAGCTCCTTATCAGTGAAGTATGCTACCTTGTGTGGTAGTGAGTTCCTCCATTAATAGAAATATTAATAAAAGTAGTCAAGAATACATCAGACAACCACTTATGGGTGATATCATAGAAAGAATTTAAGCATGTACTATCACCTGGATAACATATTACATTATTTCACTGTGTTTTAATATTACATATATGAGTGTGTATGCTAGCTTTGATGATTTATTGATGAAAATTGTTAGACAAACTATTTCATCATCATGCAAGATTTTAATGAAATGCCCCCTTTCTCATCAATAATAAAGCCTAAATATGTAAAGTACATAAAAGGAAATGTATAAATTACAGTTTCATTCACTCATTTACTCGATATTTATTGAGTGACTACTATGTGCCAGACACTATTCTAGATATTACGATATATCTGAAAACAAGACAGATAAGGTTTCTTCTCTCGTGTGTCTTATTATCTAGTGATGAGAGAAAAGCAATAAACAAGGAAATAAGTAAATATATACGTGTATGTGTGTGTATATGTATACACATTAATGTGCATATATAAGGTATACATATATAATAATGTTTTATCTACATAATAGGTTAGATTGTAATATGTGGTATGAATAAAAATAAAGCAAGATAAGAGGATAATTAATGACTAAATGCGATTTACTTTAGATTCGCTGAAGAAGAGACAATCTTTGAGCAGAAATGCAGATGACACAAAGAAGTAAGCCATGAGACATTACATGGGATTATTGTCCCCAGACAGAGGAAGCAGTAAGTGCAAAAACCCTTATATAGGAAGGAGTCTAGGCTTCTTTAAGAACATGAAACAGGCCAATGAGGCTGAAGCAGAGTGAGGAAGAGAGATATGAATAGGAAAAGAGGACACAGAGAGTACTGTGTCAGATCATGTAAGATGTTGTAGTCCCTGGTAAAGTTCAATGTATTCTGAGAGACTCAGGAAGCCTACTGGAGTTCTACATAGGAGAATGGCATAATCTGGAATTACATTTCATGAAAGCTGACTTTCTCTACTATATAGATAGGGAGAACAAGAATAGAAGCATGGAGAAGAGTTAGAGAACTGCTTCAAAAATGAGGTCATGATTATTTAGACCACAGTGAGAGTAGTGAAACTGAAGAAAAGTGGATATAAAAGCCATATTAGGGAGGTATCCCTGAGAGTACGTGGCAATGGATTGGATATACAGAGTGAGGAAAACATAGGAATACAAAATAACTGAGTTTTCTGGCTTGACAACTAAGTGAATGGAGTTAGCATTTACAGACATGTGGAAGCCAGGAGTAGGAAGAGATGGGATGTTGGTGATGGTGAATAAAGAGTTAAATTTTGGACATATTACATTTGAGATTCTGTGCTGGCTATGGATTTAATGCCTTTCAGCTCCAAATTGACTGTTATAGCCTCCTCTGTGAAAATGGGTCTGGACCCTTTAAATATTTTTCCTCTCAACTGGCATGATGTTGTTTGGTCAATAGAGGGCACTGAGGAGACATCACTGGAGAAAGGAATTTTGTTTTCTGGTTCCTGTGTGCTCTCTTGATAGGATCTTGCAGTAAGGTAGTTTCTGCTTCAGCATCTACCTAGCTCCTGCAGCGTGGGCACCTTCCCCAGTACTCAGCTCCCAAATTGCAGGCAGATTTCCTGCTGCCCATCTCCTACAAGGTGGACAGATTCTCCAGCACCCAGCTACTGTGACAGTTGCACCTTTGGTGTCCAGTTCCTACAGTGCATTGCAAACAGCATCCAAATGGCATATAGTCTCCCTTGGGGTGATACAGTGACAATCGAGGAAAAACTTGGTGATGTGAGAAAAATAAAATAGGAAAAGAAGATGATATACGTAAATGTTTCAACAGAATATAATCTTATTTCTTTTCATTCATTTCAATAATTTGATATTTTGAATATTTTTGATGGTTGAACAAGGTTTTCTTGACTATAATCCAGTTAAAAACTGAGCACTTTGATGTAGGGTTTACTAAAGCCTCGTAGACTGATGGGAATGACTAGGATAAACTTCCTTGCTCATTTAAATGAAGTACACAGCTAATATGACTGCTTCTTTTGTTGAAGTTCTCCATCTGTGACCAGAGGATGCTGATAGGGTTTGGCTGTTTCTCCCCTGAAAGCTCATTTTTAAATTGCACTCCCATAATTCCCATGAGTTGTGGGAGGAATCCAGTAGGAGATAACTGAATCATGCGGGCAGTTTCCTCCATACTGTTCTTGTGATAGTGAATAAGTCTCATGAGATCTAATGGTTTTATAAAGAGGATTTCCCCTGTACAAGCTCTCTTTCTTTGCCTGCTGCCATCTATGTGAGACGTGACTTGCTCCTCCTTGCCTTCCACCATGATTGTGAGGCTTCCCCAGCCATGTGGAACTCTAAATCCATTAAACCTCTTACTTTTGTAAATTTCCCAGTTTCCGGTATGTCTTTACCAACGGCATGAAAAATGGACTAATACAGATGCCAAGCTAAGGCCCAAATGGTGGTATCAGGAAGATTCAGGTTGAAAAGAGAATCCTGTTCAACACTCTTTCGACTATATAACCTGCAGTATCTAGATGATGTGATTGTGCCCCTCTTTATTTGTTTTATTAAACCTGCAGTATCTAGATGATGCGATTGTGCCCCTCTTTATTTGTTTTATTAAACCTGAGAGTATTTCCTTAAGAATAGGTATAAAAGTCATTGGCACATTTTGGAAAGCTATAGGATGAGGAATAGAGGCAAAGTGGCTAGTGTGCCTCAGAAATTTGAGTTGGGTGCAGGAATTTAGAGCTCAGTACAGACATAAGTCTTACTGGAAACCTATATTATTTTATATTGATCTATCTCATCTATATTATGTATTATATGTATATGAATATATATGATTATGGATATATGTGCATATATTTATATATAATATATATGCATATATAGATGGCATATATGTATATATTTATATTTATACACACACCCCGGTCCTCTCTCTATCTTATCCCCTACTCTGCCTGCATGTTTCCATTGCTTATTCTCTGGTGCTGGAGTTAAGGTAGGTAATTCTGGAAGAGGTGTTGGGACAAGTGGTAGACAGAGGGCTATGTGGATGACTGGGATGATGCTTTCCACTGAACAACTGATTTTTGGAGAATTCGAACCAGGGTTTAATTTGCCAACATATCAACTTGCAACTGTGAAAGATAATTCAGGCAAGGATTCTAAGTCCCAGAATAATAGGGAAAGGGGAAAAATATATTCTCTCTCAGACCTGAAATCTGTCACATAAAAGAGGTCTGTACTGAGGATATAAATACAGAAAGCATTTCAATCCATGGATATGACTAGGAGTGAGGGTAGATAGGACCAGATGGAGTCTTGGAGCACTAGAACCCTCAGACATGAAGGAGAGGAGGAGAAGCCAATAAAGCAGAACTGAGAAGCAATTGCCAGTGAAGGAAGAGGAAGACCTGGAGAGTGTGGGTTCCTGGAAGACAAGTCAACAGTGCTGGGCCAAGCTGTCGTGGAAGATGAGGCAAAAGCAAAAGTGTTCCACTGAATATACAAGTTTTGGATGTACTTTTTAAATTGTCTTTTTTGTCCCCAGAATATTAAAGTAGATGAAAAAAGTTGATTTTGAAATGTTATGTATATGAGCTTACTTCCACTGTGGCCAGTAAAGTGAAAATATTTTAACAATTTGGATATAAACATTTAAACCTTAGATAATGTTATGACTTTTACTAGACTTACTTTTCAAGTTTTCAATATGTTTTAAATACTTTAATGTTCTGGTAAAAATACTGACATAGTTGGGCTCTGTGTCCCCACCCAAATCTCACCTTGAATTGTAATAATCCCCACATGTCAAGGGTAGAACCAGGTGGAGATAATTGAATCATGGGGGCAGTTTCCCCCATATTGTTCTTGTGAGAGTGAGTGAGTTCTCACAAGATCTGATGGTTTTATAAGGGGGTTGCCCCTTTCCTCAGCACTTATTCATTCTCCTGCCGCCCTGTGAATAGGTGCCTTCTGACATAATTGGGTAAGTTTCCTGAGGCCTTCCCAGCCATGCAGAACTGTGAGTCAATTAAACCTCTTTTCTTTATAAATTACCCATTCTCGAGTATTTCTTCATAGCAGCATGGAAACGGACTAATACAGTAAATTGGTACCAAATAGTGGGGCGCTGCTGTACAGCTACCTGAATATGTGGACGCAAATTTGGAACTGGGTAATAGGCAGAGGTTGGAACAGTTTGGAGGGCTCAGAAGTCAGAAAGATGTGGGAAAGTTTGGAACTTCCTATAGACTTGTTGAATGGGTTTGACCAAAATGTTTATAGTGATAGGGACAATGAAGTCCAGGCTGAGGTGGTCTCAGATGGAGATGAGGAGCTCATTGGGAACTGGAGTACAGGTCACTCTTGCTATGCTTTATCAAAGAGACTGGCAGCAGTGTGCTTCTGCTCTAGAGATCTGTGGAACTTTGAACTTGAGAGAGATGATTTAGGGTATCTGGCAGAAGAAATTTCTAAGTGGCAAAATGTTCAAGAGGAAGCAGGGCATGAAAGTTTGAAAAATTTGTAGCCTGACAATGTGATAAAAAAGAAAAACCCATTTTCTGGGGAGAAATTCAAGCTGGCTGCAGAAATTTGCATAAGTAACTAGGAGCCAAATACTAATCACCAAGACAATGGGGGAAAATGTCTCCAGGGCATGTCAAAGATCTTTGTGGCAGCCCCTCTCATCACAGTCCCAGAGGCCTAGGAGGGAAAAGTGGTTTCCTGCCAGGTCCAGGGCCCACCTGCTATGTATATCTTCAGGACTTGGTGCCCTGTGTCCCAGACACTCCAGCCATGGCTAAAAAGGGCCAAAGTACAGCTTGTGTTGTGACTTCAGAGGGTGCAAGCCCCAAGCCTTGCCAGCTTCCAGGTGGTGTCGGTTCTGCAAGCATACAGAAAACAAGAATTGAGGTTTGGGAACCTCCACCTGGATTCCAGAAGATGTATGGAAATGCCTGGATGTCCAGGCAGAAGTCTACTGCAGTGGTAGATCCTGCATGGAGAACCTCTGCTACAGCAATGTGGAAGGAAACCGTGGGGTCAGAGCCCCTACATAAAGTCACCACTGGGGCACAGCCTAGTGGAGCTTTGAGAAGATGGCCACCATTCTCCATATCCCAGAATGGTAGATCCACTGACAGCTTGCACCCTGCACCTGGAAAAGCCACAGACACTCAACCCAAGCCCATGAATGCAGCCAGCAGGGGGGCTGTACCCTGCAAAACCACAGGGTGGAGCTGCCCAAGATCATGGGAACCCACCTCTTGCATCAGCGTGACCTGGATGTGAGACATGGAGTTGAAAGAGATCATTTTGGAACTTTTAGGCTTAATGACTTCCCTATTGGACTTGCATGGGGCCTGTAGCCCCTTTGTTTTGGCTAATGTCTCCCATTTGGAACAGGTGTATTTTCCCAGTGCCTGTACCTCCATTGTATCTAGAAAGCAACTAACTTACTTTAGATTTTTCAGACTGATAGGCGGAAGGGACTTGCCTTATCTCTGATGAGACTTTGGACTTGGACTTTCGGTTAATGCTGGAATGAGTTAAGTGTTTTGGGGACTGTTAGAAGGGCATGATTGTGTTTTGAAATATGAGGACATGAGATTTGTGAGGGGCCAGGTGTGGAATGATATTATTTGGCTCTGTGTCCCCACCCAAATCTCACCTTGAACTGTACTAATCCCACATGTCAACGGTGGGACAGTTGGAGATAACTGAATCATGGGGGTGGCTTTTCCCACACTGTTCTCATGATAGTGATAGTGAATAAGTTCTCACAAGATCTGATGGTTTTATAAAGGGCTTCCCCCTACACTGGGCTCTCATTCTCTCTCCTGCCACCCTGTGAAGAGGTCCCTACTGCCATGATTGTAAGCTTTCTGAGGCCTCCCCAGCCATGTGGAACTGTGAGGCAATTAAACCTCTTTTCTTTATAAATTACCCAGTCTCAGGTATTTCTTCACAGCAGCATGAAAATGGACTAATACAAATACATTAAAATATATAAATATAAAAGAATATACATACATACACACACACACACCCCCATATACACAGGAGTACGTGTAAGGGGCCTCAGGCTCCATAGCTCCATTATGGCTTAGCCCAGCACTATTAAATATCATCTTTATTTAAAATTTTGATGTTTTGTTTGTCATAGATATTTTAATTGATTTTAACTCTTTCAAATGTTACATCAAAGTATTATTTATATTGATTACTAGGTTTCTGGCATGCCCCTAAAATTTTGTGCCTGAGTCAAGCAAAGCACCCAGTTTTTTTCCCCAATCTCAGCCTCATGAATGAATACAGTGTTAGAAGGAAGAGGGAAGCAATCCACTGGACCAGATGCTGCTAAATGGCCAAGTAAGCTGGGGATAGAGATTTGACCATTGGGTTTGGCAACATGAAGGTCACTGGTGATCTTGACAAGAACAGTCTTTATTGGAGTGCTGGAGGTGAAATCCTGACAAGAGTGGCTTCAAGCCTGTGTTAGAATGTACCAGTGGGATTTTCATTTATGGAAGTGGCTAACTGATGACATGGAGAGACCAATGCCATTAAAAAAAGATTTTTATTACTTACAGTTCTTGAGAGAAATAGCCTACCATATCATGCAGGGAACACATGCATGCCACATAGGGAAACACAGGTTTGGTCGGGAGGCAGAAGCAGGACTAAAGAGAAAGCATGGCCAAGAGCCTTTATTGTGCTTTCCAGCCTGAAGAAAGAGCTCAGGGTTTTCTAGATTTAATAATGTCAGTGGGTTCTAAGCTATAAAGATGGCATCTACTTATCTGTTACTTGGTTCTGGGTGATTTAGGGCAGGACAAATATTCGCTTGGTGTGTGAGAGTTACACAAAGGAGGTGGTTGAGGATATGGACTTGGGATTGTTTGGAGGGCTTGTAATATGATTTTCACACACCCATGAAAGCTGGATAGCAAGGGAGATGTAAACCACTTTGGCCATTAGTTTGGCCTTGTGATTAAAGAACACCAGGTAGACAAATACAGAAACTAAGAAAACACAGAACAAAGTCAGACAGGTTGGTAAGGACCAGAAGGCAAAAATGTTTTTATCTTTGCTTGTTTATTTGCTATTTGTTTCAGTCTGGCCTGGTTTATTTTGGGGCTAAATAGTCAAGATTTTCTTACACTTTTAACAAGCTATGTTAAAACATATAAATGAAAATAACCACTGAATTGACATTTCTTGTGAAATGTCCAATACAATATCTTCTCACAATACCAAGATGAGGAAAAAGGCACCCTTGAATCAAAAACAGAAATCAAATAACCTTGAGATAAAGTATCACTTCCTTTTGACATTTTTTATAACACTTAATTTACCTTTAGAAATGTCAAATGGTCTTTTCTCCTTTATTTAGCATGTCCTCCCTGCTTTCTTTCAAAATGGCTCCTCTCTTGCCCTCCTAGAATTTCTCAACACAATGTAATAACTCAACCAAAGTGAGAGAGAAAGTGTCAGCAAGCCACTGCATTATGGCAAATGCATACTATTTCTCAAGACAACTGAAATTAAGGATTCCAAAATATTTAGACTTGATAATCATAACAACCATAACTACCAGAATTCCTATGTGGTACAGTAATTTGCATCTCTCCAGCTCATGGAGTCCTTTAGCGATTTAACCCATAGACACATAAAAAGATAAAGTTGGGGCTGGTTGAGGTGGCTCATGCCTGTAATCCCAGCACTTTGGGAGGCCGAGGCAGGTGGATCACGAGGTCAGGAGATTGAGACCATCCTGGATAACACAGTGAAACCCTGTCTCTACTAAAAGTACAAAAAATTAGCCAGGCGTGATGGCATGCACCTGTAGGCCCACCTCAACAGGAGGCTGAGGCAGGTGGAACACGAGGTCAGGAGATCGCAACCATCCTGGCTAACACGGTGAAGCCCTGTCTCTACTAAAAGTACAAAAAATTAGCCAGGCGTGGTGGCATGCACCTGTAGTCCCACCTACTTGGGAGGCTGAGTCAGGAGAATCACTTGAATCTGGGAGGCGGAGGTTATGGTGAGCCGAGATCACGCCATTGCACTCCAGCCTGGGCAACAGAGCAAGACTCTGTCTCCAAAAAAAATAAAAGAGTTAAAGTTGGAAGAGGAAAAAAAAAAAAGCTGAAAGAGCCCTTAGAGATCATGCACCCAAGTGTTTCCCGTAAATCTTCAGAGACCTGCAAATGTGTCCTGAAGATATATGTAGTAATGGTGGTTACTGTGTCTGTTTCAATTTCTATTTGTAAAAATCCACTGACTGTAAAATAATTAATTTAATGTTTGGGTTTCCTTTAAATAATATATATCAAATGGGCATATAGTGGTTGGTCAGATAGATGAGATTGCTCCCAATGCATTTTTGTAACCATCAGCTGACTTCAGGATTCTGATTGGTACATAATAGAAACTTCGTTTATGCTTATCATGTGCCTTATTTTATTCAAGTTTCTGTAATAAAAACCAGAGGCTGAGTAGCTTATAAACAACAGAAGTTTCTTTCTCACAGATCTGGAGGCTGAGAAGTCCAAGATCAAAGTGTTAGACAATTTGGTGTCTGGTGAGGGCCCACTTCCTCATAGACTATGTTCTCACATAGTGGAAGAAGCAAACAAGCTCCTTTGGGCCTCTTTTATAAGGACACTAATTACGTTCCAACAGCCCCTCCTCCAAATACTCTCACATTGAGTATTAGGTTTCAACATATAAATTTTGGGAGTGCATAAACACTCAGACCATTACATCATGTATGTTTAATTTCCACCTTTAATAGACCAAGTTAAAGACAGAAAAACGTAGGGAACACTGATGATGATATACAGCATGTGACAGAAGAGTATAGAAATGATAATTTTTCTAATTTGCCTTCAGTGATACGTGACTTATCACTCGTTAACATTTTTATATAATACATCACCCTATCTCTAGGACTTCAAAAGCCAATCTTAGAAAGAGGCAATGTAATGAATATATAATTTGTCTATTCCTTTATAAGTAATAAAAGCTATACACAGGCAGAAAGCATCATTTGTGGAGAATTTCTTTCAAACAGCTGCTTGAAATTCTTTCTTTTGTGTCAATATTTAGCAACTGATCCACATTGTAAAAATAAACAATTGATTGTTAACTACAGAGAACAAGTTTTTCAAACATCTATATTTATCAATCAGTAATCCAGACATTTTTAAATCATTTCATTCATTGGTCTAGCAAATTGCAAAAATGGAAGAAAACAGAGGAAGCCCATTATTTTGCAGAAGAATTTGTTTTTCCAGGCAAAGGAGCTACTATGGCTCTCTGGTGACAATTTGGTAAAACAATTGGATGTGGTACCCTTTTCCATAACACATTATTTCAAAGTACACATTATATGAAGGCAAATGCTGAATTCATTATTATAAGAAGAATGAAATAAAACTACCTATTATGTTTCCTAATCAGATGAGGTGATGTTTCTAATTTAGTTATTGTAACACGCATTTAGTCCCCAAACCAAACATGATACAGTATGTGTTTTGGAAGTTATGTGTCAACAGAGAAGGAAAAAAAGGCTGGGAAATTATAGTTTAGCCTACTCACCTAACTTTACATCAGGAAGAAAGGAGTCTTGGAGAAAGGAAGAAACTTGTCCAAATCCACATAGTAAGCGAGAGCAGAGGAAAATAAGAACTCAGGCTTTTTGGCCCCAGGCTCATGTTGGCCCCACTGCACCCTCTTGTATCCCAGAGGGTCTTTAAGGGCTCTCATTCTGTGCACCCATTTTAAACAATGTTCCTTATAACATCAGTGAATAAATTAGCTAATCTCACTGACAGAATTAATTCAGATATCGATAGCTCCTTTTGATCCTGGTATCAGTACATGGGAAAAAAGGAATGTATTAATCTGTTCTCACACTGCTATTAAGAAATACCTGGGACTTGGTAATTTATAAGAAAAGAAGTTTAACCGGCTCACAGTTTTGTGGATTGTACAGGAATAATGGCAACTTCTGTTTCTGGGGAGGCCTCAGGAAACTTAGAATCATGGCGGAAGGTGAAGGTGGACACAGCACTTCACTTCACTGGAGCAGAAGAAAGTGAAATAGCAGGTAAGTGCTACACACTTAAAAAAAAAAAACAGAACTCATGATAACTCACTCACTCACTATCACGAGAAAGAACAGTACTTATCATGATGCCAAACCATTCATAAGAAACTCGCCCCATGATCCAATCACCTCTCACCAGGTCCCACCTCCAACACTGGGGATTACAATTAAACATGAGATTTGGGTGGGGACACAGATTCAAACCATGTCAGGAAAGATGAGGGATAGGGATTAGCAGACCAGAAGCAAGCCAATGAAGACAAGCAGCTAAAAAGTCTATTGTTATTGTCCAAATATAAAGCAATAAGAGCCAAACAAAATGATGACGTGAATGGAAAGAAGGGAAAATTCTAAAGGCAAAGTTGAAAATTTGACAGGATTTAGTGACCATTTGCATGTTGTTGAAAGGATTCTAGATGTTCTTATTTAGATATATAAGAGAACATAACTGAGTGTGTATTTGCGTGTGTGTGTGTATGTGAGTGTAAAAGAGAGAGTGACAGGGCACAAGCAGGAAGAATAGGAGTGAGTTGAGGTTGGAACCTCAAGGGAAATGTGGGTCAGATGTTGTTGTTGATACTCAACACTACCCCTCATCACTCTTTTTCTCAGGGGCTGCAGGACTGGAAACTAAATTTCCCAGACTTCCTTGCCATCAATGTTCTATGATATTTGGAAGGCAAAAGAAAAGAAAAAGCAGGAGCAGATGGCAGATGTAAGGCTTGCGGTGCCTCTGAGCAATCTCTTTTTGATGCTGCAGGCTGCTAAGAACACGGTTGACAGTTTCTTACCATTGTTATACTTCCTCATGTCCTCATCTTTCCTGATCTTTGCTCCATTCCTAGGATATTTTGAGCATAAACTTCCTTGGATGGTATACCCCTGCTAAAGTACCTAGAGTGGTTCCGTATTTCTAACTAAACCATGATTGACATAGACTCTTGATACTCAAAATGTGGTTCCTGGGAATGTAACATCAGCATCTCAAGGGAGCTTATTAAAAACACAGAATCTCAAGCTCCACCCCAGACCAACTGAATTAGAATCTGCACTTTATCAAGATCTCCAGGTGATTGGTACATGGATTCAAGTTTAAGAGGCCTTGCTATAGAGCAATTTGAGGGGTGGGAGGTCAGCTTTTGTAGAAGAGTTTTGGTGGGTTGATGGGGAAAGAGAAGACAAGTTATAGGAAGAAAGCCATAAATGGGAAGGAGGAAAATTGAGGCAATAAATAGACATCACTGTTTAGAATAATTTATCCATAAAGTAAAAGTGGTCAATTGTAGAAAATAATCTCTCTTCCTCCTATCATCTGTGACTCTAAAACTAATTGCATCATAGTGGCTATTATACAAATGTCACTTCCTAAGGTATTTTTGTCTTCTCCTTCCATCTGACAGTAGCTATTGTGCACTTGAATTGTGGTTGGTTCAACTTGAGATATGCAGTAGGTGTAAAATCTACAGTGAATTTCGAAAATGTAAAAGGAAAAAAGAATGCAACATATCACCTTTGTCTTATGAGATGTTAAATGATAATATACTAGACACACCCTGTTAAATAAAATGTTTTAATATGGTCATCTATTGCTTTTTTTTTAATGTGGCTAATAGACAATTTACAATTGCATATATAGCTAACATTATATTTCTAGTAAACACTGCCATCCTAGACAGCTGAGATAAGGTCTTCATCATATCTGGATCCCCAGCACCATGAGTACTGCCTGAAAAAACAACATGTGCACTGTTACTCAGCACTGAGTTGTCAAATAGAGGTAAAAATTCCTAAGCAATCCAGTCAAAACCTATTTCCCTTTCTTTCCTGAGTGCTCAACGCACTTAATATTTTCACATCCTTGTACCTGTATTAGTCTGCTCTCACCTTGTACCTGTATTAGTCTGTACTCACATTGCTATAAATAACTACCTGAGACTGGATAGTTGATAAAGAAAAGAAGTTTAATGGACTCACCGTTCCTCAGGCTTCACGGGAGGCATGGCTGGGGAGGCTTCAGGAAACTTACAATCATGGTGGAAGGCAAAAGGGAAGCAAGGGAAGTGTCATATCTTCACATGACAACAGGAGAGAGAGAGAGAATGGGGAGGTGCTACACACTTTTAAACAACCAGATCTCATGAAAACTAACTCACTATCGCAGGAACAGCAAAGGGGAAATCCACCCCCATGATCCAATCACCTCCTACCAGTTCACTCACCCAACATTGGGAATTACAATTCGACATGAGATTTGGACACAGAGCCAAACCATGTCACTGACTATATATAATTTAGAACTTATCTGGCATAGTTTCATATTGTTAATTATGTCATGTGTATAAGTATGTTCACCACTTTTGTGTATCCTATTATGCCTAACATCATAGAAGAGACATGGTAGGAACTGATTAAGTGCCTGTTAAACTAAACGTGATGTTTTTAGCCACGTTCTTGTAGTGAACTTGGCTACCACAGTAACAGAAGCTTGGTTTACATATGACATGTAGAGCTGACATACTTAAAGATAACCTACCTTTGACATGAATGGAGTGGCATAACAGTGAGTTAGCACAATGAGATATTTGTTTACTTGATCAAATTCTTCAGACCTATGTCCCAAAATTAAAACCTCATTTAAAACCACTATCAATTAAATAAATTATTTTTAATATATGTTTTAAAAAGAAGCAATTATAGACATCTTTCACCTCCCTAGTTGTACTCGCAGGCATTTAATTATTTTTTTGGCAATTGTGAATGGGATTGCAATTCTGACTTGACGGTTGTTGATGTATAGGAATGCTATGGATTTTTGTATGCTGACTTTATATTCTGGGACTTCGCTGAAATTGTTCATCAGCTTAAGAAGCTTTTTGGATGTGATTATATGGTTTTCTAGGTATAAAATCATGTTGTCTGCAAAACAGAGATAGTTTGACTTTCCTCTCTTCCTATTTGGATACGCTTTATTTCTTTCTTGTTCCTGACTGCCCTGGCCAGGACTTCTAATACTGTATTGAATAGGAGTCATAAGAGAGGGCATCCTTATCTTGTGCCTGTTTTCAAGCAGAATGCAAAACACTGTTCAAAGAAATCAGAGATGATACAAACAAATGGAAAAACATTCCATGATCATAAATAGAAAGAATTTTTTTTATTATATTTTAAGTTCTAGGGTACATGTGCACAACGTGCAGGTTTGTTACATATGTATACATGTGCCATGTTGGTGTGCTGCACTCATTAACTCGTCATTTACATTGGATATATCTCCTAATGCTTTCCCTCCCCCCTCCCCCCACCCCACGACAGGCCCCGGTGTGTGATGTTCCCCTTCCTGTGTCCAACTGTTCTCATTGTTCAATTCCCACCAATGGGTGAGAACATGCGGTGTTTGGCTTTTTGTTCTTGCAATAGTTTGCTGAGAATGATGGTTTCCAGCTTCATCCATGTCCCTGCAAAGGACATGAACTCATCCTTTTTTATGGCTGCATAGTATTCCATGGTGTATATGTGCCACATTTTCTTAATCCAGTCTATCATTGATGGACATTTGGGTTGGTTCCAAGTCTTTGCTATTGTGAATAGTGCCGCAGTAAACATACGTGTGCATGTGTCTTTATAGCAGCAGCATCATGATTTATAATCTTTTTGGTATATACCCAGTAATGGGATGGCTGGGTCAAATGCTATTTCTAGTTCTAGATCCTTGAGGAATCGTCACACTGTCTCCCACAGTGGTTGAACTAGTTTACACTTCCACCAACAGTGTAAAAGTGTTCCTATTTCTCTACATCCTCTCCAGCACCTGTTGTTTCCTGACTTTTTAATGATTGCCATTCTAACTGGTGTAAGATGGCATCTTATTGTGGCTTTGATTTGCATTTCTCTGATAGCCAGTGATGATGAGCATTTTTTCATGTGTCTGTTGGCTGCATAAATGTCTTCTTTGAGAAGTGTCTGTTCATATCCTTTGCCCACTTTTTGATGGGGTTGGTTGATCTTTTTCTTGTAAATTTAAGTTCTTTGTAGATCTTGGATATAAGCCCTTTGTCAGATGCGTAGATTGTAAAACTTTTCTCCCATTCTGTAGGTTGCCTGTTCACTCTGATGGTAGATTCTTTTGCCGTGCGGAAGCTCTTTAGTTTAGTTAGATCCCACATGTCAATTTTGGCTTTTGTTGCCATTGCTTTTGGTGTTTTAGACATGAAGTCCTTCCCCATGCCTATGTCCTGAATGGTATTGCCTAGGTTTTCTTCTAGGGTTTTTACGGTTTTAGGTCTAACATTTAAGTCTTTAATCCACCTTGAATTAAATTTTGTGTAAGGTGTAAGGAAGGGATCCAGTTTCAGCTATCTACATATGGCTAGCCAGTTTTCCCAGCACCATTTATTAAATAGGGAATCCTTTCCCCATTTCTTGTTTTTGTCAGGTTTGTCAAAGTTCAGATGGTTGTAGATGTGTGGTATTATTTCTGAGGGCTCTGTTCTGTTCCATTGGTCTATATCTCTGTTTTGGTAGCAGTACCATGCTGTTTTGGTTACTGTAGCCTTGTAGTATAGTTTGAAGTCAGGTAGCGTGATGCCTCCAGCTTTGTTCTTTTGGCTTAGGATTGTCTTGGATATTATTAAAATGGCCATACTGCCCAAAGCAATTTATAGACTCAATGCTATCCCTATCAAATTTCCAATGACATTCTTCACAGAACTAGAAGAAACTATTTTAAAATTTATATGTACCAAAAAAAGAGCCCCAAGTAGCCAAGGCAATCCTAAGCAAAAAAAAAAAAAAAAAAAAAAGAAGGTACTGGTACAAAAACAGACTAATGAAACAGAAAACAGAATAGAGATCTCAGAAAAAAGACCACACACTTAGAACCATTTGGTCTTCAACAAAGTTGACAAAACAAGCAACGAGGAAAGGTATTAGCATTCAATAAATGGTGCTGGGATAATGAGCCTGCCATATGCTGAAGATTCAAACTGGACCCTTTCTTTACACCACATACAGAAATCGACTCAAGATGAATTAAAGACTTTAATGTAAAACCCAAAACTATAAAAAACCCTGAAAGGCCACTTAGGCAATACCATTCTGAACATAGGAACAAGCGAAGATTTCATGATGAAGACACCAAAAGCAATCACAACAAAAGCAAAATTGATAAATGGGATCTAATAAAGCTAACGATATTCTGCAAAACAAAGGAATCTATCAACACAGTTGAACAGAGAACCTAAAGAATGGGAGAAAATTTTTGCAAACTATGCATCGAACAAAGGTCTAATATTTAGCATCTATAGGAACTTAAATTTACAAGAAAAAATAACCCCATTAAAAAGTGGGCAAGACACATGAACACTTTTCAAAAGAAGACATACATGTGGCCAACAAAGCATATGGAAAAAGCTCAACATCACTGATCATGTCCCTACATGCAAATCAAAACCACAATGTAATACCATCTCACACCAGTTAGAATGGCTATAATTAAAAGGTCACAAAATAACAGATGCTGGCAAGGGTGAAGAGAAAAGGCAACAGTTATACACTGTTGGTGCAAGTGTAAATTAGTTCAACCATTGCGGTGATTCCTCAAAGACCTTGAACCAGAGATATCATTCATTTCAGCAATCCCATTACTGGGTATATACCCAAAGGAATATAAATCTTTCTGTTATAAGGTCACGTGCATGTGTATGTTCATTGCAGCACCATTCGCAATAGCAAAGACATGGAATCAACCGAAATGCCTATCAATGGTAGACTGGATAAAGAAAATGAGGTACATATACTCCATAGATACAACATAGCCATAAAAAAGAAAGAGATCATGTTTTTTTGCAAGGACTTGGATGGAGCCAGAGGCCATTAACCTTAACAAACCAATGCAAGAACAGGAAACCAAATATCACATGTTCTCACTTATAAGTGGGAGCTAAATGTTGAACACATACGGACACATAGAGGAGAACAACAGAACCTGGGGTATACCAGAGTGAAGGGTGGGAGGAGGAAGACAATCAGGAAAACTAATTAATGTGTACTAGCCTTAATACCCGGGTGACAAAATCATCTGTACCACAGACTCCCATGACATGAATTTACCTATATGACAAACATGCACATGTATCCCAGAACTTAAAATACAAATTAAAAATAAGTAAAAATAAATAAATTAATTAAAAGTTAATAAACAATTAGTAAAATCATGATGATCCTGAGCTGTCATATTTTTTGTTTTTAAAATCATATTTTTTAATTTTCTAAAATATAAGGGTTGTGTCACACTTGCCCAGAGTTGTTTTTTGTAAATATATTTGTTTTTTATTGTTTTTCTTCCCAGCTACATAGACTGACTCAAAGAAGAACAGATGAAATGTATTGAATAGCTGTTGTGGAATGATCAATTCTTCTCACAGCCTTTCTTGAGGGCAAGTCAGAGCTTGGTGGAGTATATTTAAATGGACTGCCCGATCAATAGAAAGGTCTCACCATTTCTCCATTTTTCACTTTCCCACTAAAAAATGAAAGAGCTACAGTTTGATCTCCACCTTTGACATATAGTAATTTAAACATCAAAGAGGGATTTTCGTAATGGGTTTCACACTTTTGAAGAAAAAAAAAAGATTTCTCACAGCTTTTTTGGCAACATAAAAATGTTGAATCAAAGTAACCTGGATAAACTGCCTACAGAGCTCATCCGTAAAATTCAGGCTTTTTGCCCAAATTACAATTTTACTCAGGTCAACTTGTTCCTTAAGAGAAACAATAACCCAATTCGTGTCTACCAAATTCACAAACAAAAAGCATATATTTAGATTCTTGAAATTGCCCCAGAGCCCAACAATGGCTGAAGTCATATCTACTCATCCTCTAGGCCTGCATGCCAAATTGCTCTGTGGAAAGACATTGCTCTGTTCTCTCGTGTGTCATGTCCAACTGTCATGTGATAACTGCCTCAAAGCTTTTATCTATTGCCTGGCTGCAGGGTGCAGACACGAATATTTTTGTTAGATGCTGAGTGCCAACTTTGGAGTCAATGGGTAGAAGCCTTTACATTCTGACTCATTCTGTCTCCGCATAAGAACACACACACACACAAAAGTGCATATGTATATATCTAATATATGTAAATAATATAGGGAGGGTCTCAGAGAGAACAGCTTAGGACAGTTTGAGGTGGACATTAATAAGAGTTACAGGCAGTATTTCCACTGCAACTACTGTGGTTGGAGTCAACATCACTCTCACTCAGATAATTAAATATGCTTTTTAACTGATCTCCCTGTTTCAGCGTTTGCCCTCTTATAGTTTGCTCTCCCTCCGAGTGAAATACAAGATTCATACATTGACCTATATGGCCCTATATGATCTGTTCTACAACCTCAGTTCTTAATACTTTTTCCTGCTCACTTTACACCAGGTCCTTGTCTCCTGTTCCTCAATCATGCCAAACATAGTCATGCTCATAGTCTCCACACTTAATCTTTCTTCGCTTCGAATGATCCTCCACATATCTACATGGTCCAATTTCTTACGTGCTTCCGGTCTCTGGTAAATTGACACCTTATCAGTGAGGCTTTCCGTAATTACGGAAACCTTTCTATATGAAATAACAACACAGATCTAACACTCCCCATCCCCTTTTCCATTATATTATTTTTCCAAAGCACTTATCACTACATGATGTTACATTATTTACTTGATCATTTACTTATTATATTTCTCCCTATTTGAGTTTCAGTTCTATGGGGACAGAGATGTTTTTACTGCTGTATCTCACACCTAGGACATAAAAAGTACTCACTAAATATTTGTTGAATTGATGAATGTATAAGTGAATAAATAGATACTGTTTAAAGACCTGGATGAAGCACATAGGATTAACATTGAAGAAATCTAATATAACTGAACTGTAGGCTCTGGATTAAGATGAAAAATAAAAGTGACTAAAATATGGTCACATACCAGGGCAGATGTGTTTGAAAGGTCTGAGAGACCTTAGAGACATGCTACCTGGAAATTTCCTTGTAGAATCCATACAAATAAAATTGGGAGCCAGATATCAAGGCAGAGGGCATAAGCTGAAAAAAAAAAAAAAAGGAAAAACATGATAAATCAGAGGGCTGAGGAGGAGATCTAAAAAATACTTGGCAAATGAAACAGTGAAGAAAATGGCATAAGATGCTGGATGCTAGGTGAAGTAAGCCAGGTAGTTCAGGTACTTTGAATCCAGCGGCCAGAGCAGAAGTAATAGGCAATGTACCAAGTCTACGTTGGTGGATCAGGGTTAGATTACAAAAAATCCAGAGCAGGCAGGAGAATTTAGGTGGAAGCAGAACCCAAAATGAAAGCAGAATTTGACATCACAGTCTTATTTGGGGTAATGCTTTAATGGGTAGAAAACTGGAATATCAGGAGAACCAAGATCCAATTTTTAGTATCCAATGTAAACGAAAGAAACGCACAACGAAGCAAGTATCATAAGGTTCCCATTCCCAAGTGGCCATTCCTGAAGCTCTCTACTCTAACAAGTCAGAAAAGGCCTGTTCTCCCAGTGGTGACTAGTTCTGTTACTTTATAGAGGAAATATAAGCCACACATGAGAACTCCTGTATCTTCACCACACCATTCCCTAACCTAATATCTTCATTGTCTACATAGAGGGCAATCTCTAGAAGCTGAGAATTACCCTTTGCTGATGCCCAGTATGAAAATGAGAACCTCGGTTCTACAATTACTAAGACCTGAATTCTGCTAGCAACCTAAGGGAGTTATGATGCAGACAAGATTGCAGCCCCAGGCCAACACCTGGATTTTAGGTTGTTGAAACTGGAAGCAGAGAATCCATCAAACCCATGTCTGGATTCCTGACCCACAGGAACTATAAAATGACAAATTGTGCTTTTTTAAGCTGCTAAGTTTGTGATCATTTATTATTAATAGAAAATGAATACAGATTTTGATATCTGAAAGTGAGGTGCTGTTGTAACAAACACCTATATTGTGGGAGCAGCTTTGGAATTAGACAGCTGAAAAGTCATGAAGAATGTTAAACAAAAAACTTAATTGAGAAATCCTAAGTCACCTTGAACAGACTATTAGTAGAAACATGGACTTTAGGGAGGGCTCAGAAGAAACTGAGGAAGACGTTATCACTAACTGGAGAAAGTGGAAATCTTTTTATATAGAGGTGGAAAGCTTCGCAGAATTATGTACTACAGTTTTGTGGAAAATAGAAGTTGTAAAATGATGAACTTGAATATTTAGCTAAAGACATTTCCAAGCGAAATGTTAAAGATGCAGGCTAGTTTTTTCTGGCTTGTTATAGTAAAATGCAAGAGGAAAAATAAATTGAGGCAAGAACTGCTTAACAAATATACCTTCCCTCATCTATATCATCAATGTCTCTTTTTGAGAATGATTCTCATTAACATACAAACATGCTTTAATTATCCCTTTCATCTTAAACATCTTTCCTTGATACAGTATCTCCCTCTGGCTTCTAACCAAATTATTTGCTTCTCTTCATAGCACAGTTTCCCAAATTTCTACTCATGCTATGTTTATATTCTCACCTCACATTTTTTCCTCAACATACTCCACTCTTTTCTGTCCCGTCACTCCATAAAATCTGCTTTCACTAAGGATATCAGTAACTTTCATGTTGTATGTTTATCATTTTACTTGACTTAGCACTATTCGATAAAGTTAACCCATTCCCTTCTGTGTGAAACATCCTTCTTACTCAGCTTTTATGATTTGACACTCACATGATTATCCCCCTCCCTTAATGACCACTGATTTTTTTTTTTCTTCTTTCTTTTTCCATTATTGGTTCAATGTTCTGTTGCTTGTCCCTCGGTACTTTTCCTAACTAAACTCTCTTTTTAAGTGATTCTTCTATTTTCATAACTTTAAGCCCAAACTTTGCCCTTGAATACCATACTCCCACTGGGTTTTTGATATCTCCATCTGGATGCTTCTTGAGTATCTTAAAATTAATGTCCAAAATAGAACTAACAACTTCTTCCTCAAGGCCACTCCTATTTCAGTCAATAGCACCTCTATTCACACAATTGCTAAAGCAAGAAGCCTTAGAATCATCCCTGACTTCTTTGTGTCTCTTTCTGCACCTTCAATTACTCACGAGGTACTGTAGATTATCCTTTGAAGCACATACCAAGTCTGTTCATCTACTCTACCACCATCCTTTTGTTTGCACTCTTGTCCTCCCTCCATTCTCCATATAGTGGCCAGAGTAAGTCTTCTCATATGTAAATCTGATGTCACTCCCCTGCTCTAAACTTTTTGAAGACTTCCCATTGCTCCCAGTTGCTCCTAGAAAAATATCTCAAAGTCTGTAAGACCCTGTATTGTATGGCCTCTGGCTGCCACTCTGTATTCACATTCTACCATTCTTCCCTTAGCTACCTCAGCTACACTGGATTCTCTTACTTCCAGGAATGTTTCAAGCTCCTGATCTGGGCTATACTCTCTGTGAGAAATTCTCTTCCACACCACCCTTAGCCTATCCCTCACCTAATCATGTATCAAATCGCAATCTAAATGTCATGGTCTCAGAAAGGCCTTTATAAGCTCCCAAACAAGATACTATCTGCCTGCTATCATTTTTTGTGCTTCCTATTGTATTTTCTCAGTGGTACCGTTTCATTGTTGTAAATTTTAACTGTGAAAATATTTGAATGATGTCTATCTCCACTATTAGGCCATAAACTCAGCAAAGGGTACGACTGTCTCTAATTACTATAACTCTGGTGTCTTACAGTGTGTGACACACAGTACGTACTCAGTAAATGTGTGTTAAATGCTTTGCTAGTGACGTCCAGAAAAGCAAAAAGCTAGATCCTTTGAGTGGTTATAATAATCCTAACTAATCCTCTGGAGGATTTCTATCCTTTTCCAGTCCATAATCTCTAGATGAGTTTAACAACAGTTAATTATTTATCATAGGCCTTCTTGGACATTAGCAAGATGGCAGAATGGAAGTTTCCAGCCCCCAAACCTCTACCAGAACACCAATTTTAAGAACCACCTACAGACAGGAATACTTTTATGGAAGCCCAAGGTTCAGCGGAGAGGTCCCAGCATACCATTGGAATGAAAAATCTGAGAATAGATGCGTTGAGGAGTATAAGAAAAAGAGTTTCACTGTACCTGCATCACCCCTACCCCCAGGTGGCCCAGCTCAGTGACAAGAGAAGTACCCCTCAGTCCACAATGTCTCCCGTGAAGGAAAAAGAGAGCATAGTTAGTGAGCGCCCAGCTCCCCTGGCTGCAGATGCGGCCCAGGAGACACCAAACTGTCCCACACTACCCAAAACACTGAGGGTATTGACATGATTGTATTATCTGGGGCAGCTAGGAACAGAGAAAAGGGGCAGGGCATGACAGAAGCCTGCACACGGATCTCAACAACTAGCTAAAGATCCTACTGACCAGCTTGCACGCTCCACCAGGAGCCTCACCCATGAGCCATGTGGGGTGCCACACCTGCACATTTACTCCAATAACTGATACATGTCTCTAGCACTCCAGCACCCCCATAGGCAATGCCCCGAATTCCACCAGAGATCACACACACATTCCCTCACAGATAGCATATGCAAACCTCATCAGGTGGTGCATGAAGTCCCCATACACAGCAAACAGATATCAGCAGGTGGCTCAACTCTGCTGGACTGGGAGAAGGTGTACAACCTTGAACACTTCAGGGCACTGCTCTAGAGAAAATAAAAGAAAGGCTCTCGGCACCCAACCTGGCTTAGCAGGGCTGATGGAAGGCACACAACTCTAAGACTTCCGCATACAAGCGGGTACCATTGTAATATAGTATTTGGTAATAGGCCAGAATTACCCTATTACCAAAGCCAGACAAAGACACTATAAGAAAATAAAATTAGAGGCCAATAACACAGATAAACATAGATGCAAAATAAGGCCTAGTGTTAGATAGTTCAGTAGGGTGACTATAGTTTACAATAATCTATTGTATATTTCAAAATAGCTACAAGAGAAGAATTGAAATGGTTCTAGCATAAAAAGACAAATATTTAAGGTGATAGGTATCCCAAGTACATTTATTTAATATTTACAAATATATGAACGTATTAAATTATTATATGAACCCCAAAACTATGTATACCTATTATGCATCAATAACAAAATCTTAAGTAAAATACTAGTATACCAAATTAATAGCATCTTAGAAGGATTACACATCATGATCAAGTGGGATTTATCCCAGGGATGCAAAGATGGCTCAACATATGCAAATCTATAAATGTGATATACCGCATTTATGGAAAAAAGATAAAAATAAATGATCATCTCAATAAATACAGAAAAAGCATTTTGCAAAATTTAAAATATTTTTAAAAAAACAACTCTCAACAAATTTTTTACAGAAGGGACTTACCTCAACATGATAAAGTCTGTATATAACAAGCCCACAGCTAAAGTCGTACTCAATGGTGAAAAGCTAAAAGCTTTTCCTCTAAGATCAGGAACAAGACCCAGGTGCTCATGGTCACCATTTTATTTAACACTGTACTGGAAGTGATAGCCAGAACAATGATGCAAGCAAAAGAAATAAAAGGTATCCAAATTGAGAAGGAAGAAGTAAAATTGTCTTCGTTTACAGATGAGAGGATCTTATAAATGAAAACCTCCAAAAACTCCACCAAAACACTATTAAAACTAGCAAATGAATTCAGTAAGATTGAAGGATACAAAATCAACAAACAACAATTAATTGTGTTCCATACACTATCAATGAATTATCCAAAAAAGAAATCAAGTAAATAATTCCATTTACGATAGCATCAAAAAGAATACTTAGGAATAAAAGTAACAAGGGATCTATATGCTTAAAACATAAAATATTGACAAAAGAAATTAAAGATGACACATATGAATGGAAAGATATCCTGTGTTCATGGATTAAAATAATTAGTACTGTTAAATGTCTATACTACCAAAAACAATCTACAGATTCAATTAAATCCCTTTCAAAATTCCAGTGGCATTTTTCACAGACATAGGAAAAAAAAATCGTAAAATCTTATAAAACCACAAGGGACCAAGAATAGCAAAAGCAATTTTCAACAAAAGGGGCAAAGGTGGAGGCATCATACTTCCTGCTTTCAAATTATATTACAAAGTTATAGTAATCAAAACAACATTGATGGTACATGAATAAAAACAGACACATACACCAATGGAACAGATTTGAGAGCTCAGAAATAAACCACCTATATACAGTCAACTAATCTTTGACAAGGTGGCCAAGAATACACAATGGGGAAATGATACTCTCTTCAATAGATGATGTTGGGAAAACTGGATATCCACAGGCAAAACAATGAATTTGATCCCGTATCTTACAACACACATACACACACACAGAAATTAACTCAAAATGAATTTAAAGACTTAAAAATGTAAGATCTGAAACCATAAATCTTTTAGAAGAAAACATAGTAGAAAAGTTCCTTGACTTTGGTCTTGGCAATGATTTTTTGGAAGTGACACCAAAAGTACAAGCAACAAAAGCAAACATAAAAGTGGAATGACAATAAACTATAAAGCTTAGGCACAGCAAAATAAACAATCCACAAAATGAAAAGACAACCTATGGAATGGGAGAATTATTTGCAATGCATATGATATAAACTGAATGTTTGTATCCCTCCTAAATTTATATATTAAAGCCCTACCCCACAAAGTGATGGTATTAGGAGATGGAGACTTTGAAAAGTAATTACAATTAGATGAGATTATGTGGGCGAAGCCCTCATGAACGGGATTAGTGCCCTTAAGAGTCACAGGAAAGCTTGCTTCCTCTCTGTGTTCTTTGCCATGTGAGGATACAAGGAGAAATAGACAGTCTACAACCCAGAAGAGGGCTGTCATAAGAACTCAAGCATCTTTTCATCCTGGCCTTTGACTTCCAGCCCCCAGATATTTAAAAAATAAATTGTTATTGTTTATTAGCTACCCAGTTTATGGTATTTTGTTATAGAAACTTGAGCTAAAACACCATATATCTGATAAGGGGTTAATTTCCAAAATATATAAGGAACTCCTACAACTGAAGGGCAAAATAATAATAATAATAACACAATTTAAAAATTAGCAAATGTGCAAAGATCTCAATAAACGTTTCTCCAAAGAAGACATTCAAATGGCCAACAGGTATATAAAACGATGCTCAGTATCACTAATCATCAAGCAAATGCAAATTAAAACCACAAGGAGATATCACCTCACACCTGTTAGGATAACTATTATTAGAACAACAAAATATAAATGTTGGCAATAATTCAGAGAAATGTGATCCTGGTACACTGGTCTTGGCAATGTAAATTGGTACAGCCATTGTGGAAAACAGTATGACGAAGCCTCAAAAACTTTAAAATAGAACTAATTATGACCCAGCAATCCCACATCTAGATATTTATTCGAAGGAATTGAAATCGGGATCTCAAAGAGGTATCTGCATTCCCCTGTTCATCATGGCATTATTCACAATAGCCAAGATGTGAAAACAACCTAAATATCTCTTGACAGATGAATAGATGTTTAAAATATGTTCTATATATAAATGGAATATTTTTCAGCCTCAAAAATGAAGAGGTAATCCTGACATTTGCCACAATATGATGGACCTTGAGAAAGAATGTTAAGTGAAATAAGCTAGGCACAGAAACACAAATACTGCATGATCTCACTTATATTTGGAATCTAGACTAATCCAACTCATAGAAACAAAGGATAGAAGAGTGGTCGTCAGGGACTAGGGGAGGGGACCTCAGGAGATGATGGTCAAAGGGTACAATGTTTCAGTTGTACGAGATGAATAAGTTCTGTAGATCTACTATAAAGCATAGTGTATATAGCTACCAGTACTCTATTATATACTTAGAATTTTCGAAGTGAGTATATCTGACGTTAAGTGTTCTTACCACAAAAAGTAATTATAATAGAGGAGGTGGGAGAAATCTTTGGGAGGTGATGGATATACCTATGGCCTTTATCGTGGTGATGATTTCATGAGTGTGTACTTGTCCCCAAAATTATGGGGTTGTATAAATTAAATATGTACAGCTGTTTACATGTCAATCATATCTTAATAAAGTGTTTTTTTAAACAGGCCTTTTTGTCCTCATTATAATTGACACATGTGTAAAATTTTGTTCTGCTGATTAGGTTGTCCATACATGCTACGGCATGGGCAACTCTTCCCTCTGGTGATCTAAATCTTAACATGTATGTTTTTCCCATCATACATTTCCGAGAATGCACTTAGCATATATTAACAAATGGCAAAAATATCCACCCTGAGTGGTACCAACATTTAATTTATCTATGCCTGAGTCTGCTCATGTCAAGATTCAGGAAGAAGCAGGAAGGAGCCAATATCTCAATGTCATGGTAGTTTTTGTTCTAATTTATACTTACTTTGCCACTTCTCCTAGAGAATGCATATAAGTGTGTGTATGTATGCATGTTATGGACAATATGTAGCTCAACCTCATATAGCTCCTTTTCTACTGGTACTGGAGATTATGAGAATAATATAACAAAGGGAATCTCCCCCTCTTTGATCTTAGGCTAATACTGTAACTAGCTCACCCTAATATAATGTACAAACTGGTAAATCCTGTATGTACATGTCTATAAAATGGGGGAAAATATAATGATATATTTTATGTTTTGTGACCCCAACATTTTTGTAAAGTCTATGTAGATGCCACAATTTTATTAGTATTAATTAGGCAATTTGACGTAAATAGAGAAAGCAGTTTTCTTACAATTACACAAAGGCAAGGGAACAACGTTTTGTACAACAAAAACAAAATGGTTTTCAGAGATTTTTAGTGAATCCAGATTTTCTCTAACGCTGCCTTATGAGCAAGGCTTGCAGTCAGACTCTGGAAGGCTATTCCAATAGGTAATTAAATTCAATCTGTGCAGTGACTGGCACAGAAGGTGAGAAGACAAGAAGTTTTACCTGCCAGAGATGCTCACAGTTGCTGTGACAACCAGACTTGAGAAACTGGATGTAATCTAACACAAAGATTTCCCACTCCAGAGCTTCCCACTTTCCCAGTAAGAGATATATATGAATGACTCTTGCTCGTTTCATGCTGGGAAGCGTCCCCTGGAGTTGCCTGCAAACTTCTGCTCTCCTCTGAAAAGTATTGGCTTTGCATCACTGCTGAAGTCAGTGCTGCAAAAATCAGAAAGATCAGTTCCTCTGCCCACTGCCACTCAACCCAAAGCTTCTCAGTCACTGTTGATCCTGTTCTACGCCCAACATTGCCCTTTATCTGTTTCACTGAAATATATTATGTGCCTTAAAAAAAAAAAAAAAACAACAACAAAAAAAACGATAGGGCCAGGTGCGGTGGCTGACGCCTGTAATCCCAGCACTTTGGGAGGCTGGTCAGGAGACCAAGACCATCCTGGCCAACATGGTGAAACCGCATCTCTACTAAACATACAAAAATTAGCCGGGCATGGTGGCAGGTGCCTGTAATCCCAGCTACTCAGGAGGCTGATCAGGAGAATCGCTTGAACCCGGGAGTTGGAGGTTGCAGTGAGGCGAGATGGCGCCACTGCACTCCAGCCTGGAGACACAGTGAGACTCCGTCTCAAAAGAAAAACACAAAAAAACAGAAAACAACCAAAAAGAAAAACAATAGAATACCTATGACCAAAGCCTAGAACATACTAAAGGTAAAGGTTTTATCTAGTTTTAAATCTTTTTTCATAATTTTACCATAATTATTTTCTGAATGAAACAATTTAAATATATGCAATTTCTATTTTTTGCCCCATGATGTCAGGGCAAATATCCTTATATGCATTTACTTCTGAGAAATACTATCTGGAATGCTGTGTGGAGTCAGGTTGTTAGCACTGTAACTCCGCATGCCACAGTCTGTTAAGAAACTCTAAAAGCTCCATCCATGACCATTGCATGACTATTCAATTTCTTTTGCTGTAGAAACACAGAATGAATGAAAGAAAGAAAAATACAAGAGCTAATTGTTGATAAACCCCAAAGCTTAACCTCAGCCAAGGCAAAGCTTAAATAATATGTCTTCAGAGCCCTCACCTTATACGTCTTCCAGGTTTTCTTGGCAGCACCTAAACATTATATATATTTCAACATCCCCCTTGTCCATCAAAACCTTTTCACAGTTTTTTAGGATTATAGTCATGGCAATAATATAATAGGTAGTAATGGATTGATTATAGAATCTGATCCCTGGTACTATCTATACAATGTTGTAACTCAGGTAAAATGCCTTTAAGTAGTGACTGTTTAGTCTAGTTAGAAAAGAAAGGTTGAGTAGTTACACCAATACATTTTATATCATGCTCCTAACACAGCTGCTTAACGTACTTCTGGTTATGTATAAAATCACCCAAGAACTTTATTATCATTCCTCATCAGGCGATCTGAGAGCCTTCCGTGTCCTTCATCTTCCTCTTTATGTAAAGCATTCCCAAATGATGATTCAAATGTCCACAGACAATAAGCCAGAGAAGAGGAAGGGAATTTAGCCACCCTCTCTCCTACTATAGCCAATCAAACTATCTTTTCTAGTTCTGCAACAAATACAGAGTTTGCCAAACAGAATTGAACCTCTCTGAGCATCAGTTTCATTATGTAGGAAAAAGTTGTGATTAGTAGAAATGATGTATGCAGAGTTGCTAATTACAGACCTGGTTTTCAGTAGGCAATCAATACACTGTAACTAATTTTATTTTGCTTATAGTCTATATCCTGTACTAGCATGGCATACGCTATGAAAAACTGGCACAGTCTCGACAAGGAACAAATATCCAAACTTAATTAAAGCCACAACCAGAGACTATAATGAGAAACAGATCCTCAGTAAATGTTTACAAACATTCTAAGATGTTTGTGACACTGGTGATCAGGCCCTGGCCTAGAGCAAAGCAAGGGATGCACCCGGGCACAAAGTTTAAGGAGGCACTCACTTTTGTGTGTCAATCCTGCATGCGCATGATCCTGAGAATGGTTGCTTCCTTAAATGCTATGACCTGGACTCTACTTACCTCAGTCTAGTCTAGGCCCTGTCTGACTTCTGTCTCCTTTTCCTTTCCTTTTGGAGGGAGTGGGAGAGACTGTGGTGTACCATATGAAGTTGCCTGGGGAGTCACACCAGCCACCAGGAGAACACCTTGGCCTGAGTTGTTAGTGGTCACAGGAAAAACTGGAGCCAGGGAACAATTATGGAAGAGAAAGGCTGCAAATCATGCTGGCCCACTGCTGTGTTAAACATCTTTTAGTAACATATAACAGAGTGTTCTCATGTAAAGAGGGTCGGTTATCTAGAAGGAAGATCCGTCTTTTAGCAGAAGTACCTGTACCAAAGGAAATAGGCTAAGACATGTATTTTAGTTGCCTCTGGCATAAAGATTATTAAAGTAATACCCCTAAAGAGGTTAATAATTAAGAGGTCTTAAAATATTCACAGCTCTGCTAAGACTAATCTGTGAGTGTTACATTTTATAAAGAACTTTCGAATTCACTCTCTTGATATTCATCACAACTCAGACAAGTGGAAACCTAGGTACAGATGCTCCTTTGCTTTTGATAAGGTCATGTCCCAATAAACCCAGCATAAGTTGAAAATACAGTAAGTTGACAACGGGCATTTTGTAGACATGAAGAAATGCAAAACTACAAAACACAATATCAAAAAAATGCTGGCAACCAGTACAATGGAGAGTGTGGCTTGTTTACCTTTGTGACTGCTTGGCTGACTGGGAGCAGTGGCTGGCTGCCTTTGCCCAGCACCTTGAGAGAGTATCACATTGCATATCACTGGCCCAAGAAAAGATCAAAATTCTGAATTTCAAGTATACTTTCTACTGAATGAATATCGCTTTTGCACCATTGTAAAGTTTAACCTCCTAAATCAAGGAAATGAGCACTGCTATTTCCATTTTACAAAAGAAGAACCCTGGAGGCAGAGAGTCGGTTACTGCCTTGGTAACAGGCAATGCCTGGCTGGGGAACATGCAACTTCTCAGGAGGGATCATGGAAACCTGGTAAGAGTTTGAATCAGACCTTGCTTTGGATTCGGGATCCACCACTATTAGCTGTAGGGCCTTAGGCAGCTAATTTCACCCTTTCTTGCTTCCTATTTCCTTACCTATAACTGTTCGGAAACACATCTACCACATGATAAGTCCTCAACAAATGCAATGCTCTTTTCCTCTTCAGATACAGCACTGTACTGATTCCTGGTCTCTGTGCATCAGATATTTTCATGAGCCCTTTTCTGGATTACTTCCCCTCTGTATGCAGTGGTCAGTTTCTCCAACAGAAAGATGCATGACAAAGAAAAGTATTTTGTTCATGAAGCAAATCCTTTCACACAGCTAAATGAGATGGGGCCTGGGGAGCAAAGCTTCAGTGAAGACAGAGGCAGGTTGTTATTCTCATTGGAAATAAATCAGTGCATGAATTAGAACAGTGCAGCTCAGGGACTAGGGTAAGAAGCATTTTTAGAACTGTCACTTTAAAAATATGTTCCCTCCTGCCTTGCGGCTCTCTCAGTGGGCAGATTTTAAAATAGAAACAAGTAACTTTAATTAGGCTCTAATTAGCCCCACAAGTTTGGTGAGCTAGGATAGTTTATTTTAGAAAAAAATATAATAACAGAAGGAGGATTTTCCAGGCGCCACAACTTTAATTACAACCCCAAACACCTCAAGCATGCTTACTGGGTCAATTAAATCAGCAGGGCAAGAGCAAAGCTAATGCACTATGCTAGACCCAAGCTATGATGATGCTTTCTCCTTGAGTTTGTTTCTAAAGTAATTTGAGAAGCAGATAACTTACAATGCTTACTTAAACAGAAGCAGGAGGTCTTTAAACTGTCATTAATATTCAATTAACTGGGATCTCAAAGATGGGGATTCTCTAGATCAGTGCTGCTCAACTGCAACGCATTCACGTTTCCCTCTTCCTTTTTTTTTTTTTTTTTTGGTTTTCTTTTTCTTCTTTTTTTCTTTATTTATTTTTTAATTTTATTATTATTATACTTTAAGTTTTAGGGTACATGTGCACAATGTGCAGGTTTCTTACATATGTATACATGTGCCATGTTGGTGTGCTGCACCCATTAACTCGTCATTTAGCATTAGGTATATCTCCTAATGCTATCCCTCCCCCCGTCCCCCAACCCCACAACAGGCCCCGGTGTGTGATGTTCCCCTTCCTGTGTCCATGTGTTCTCATTGTTCAATTCCCACCTATGAGTGAGAACATGCGGTGTTTGGTTTTTTGTCCTTGTGATAGTTTGCTAAGAATGATGGTTTCCAGTTTCATCCATGTCCCTACAAAGGACATGAACTCATCATTTTTTATGGCTGCATAGTATTCCATGGTGTATATGTACCACATTTTCTTAATCCAGTCTATCGTTGTTGGACATTTGGGTTGGTTCCAAGTCTTTGCTATTGTTTTTGCAACATTTCCCTCTTCTTGTTTGCTTCCACCCATCACCTAAGTTGGAGCTGCTTGGGTATTCTCTCTCCCATTCCCCTTTGAGCCTTGGTAGGAAACTTAGATAAGTACCAGTCTCCGGAGTGAGACCAGAGAGAAACTCTGCCCTAGATGCCCTTCTGGCATTTTCTGGTGCATCAGTAGAGTGAGCCCACAGTGGACTTCCTCTGAACTCAACAAGAAAGAGAGCAGTTTGAGGAAAAGCACTGCATCCTCCAGTACCAGTTACACACCTAGAAAGGGAAGAGCGATGAAAGTTGCCTTGCATTTTCTTGATCACTTTTGAGAGAATGATGAGAGTAAACACCCATGTCCAAACTAGTGAGTCAATCTCTACCACAGGTTGAAACAAGAAGTCTATGCAGTTAGGGAAATGTTTTTCATTCCTTCTCAAAAATGTGTTTTCCATATCATGTGGGAGAAATAGAACATTCATAGCCAATGAATGGCCTGTTGGTCCCTGCCCACATAAACAGATCTAGTGAAATAAAACCACTACAGCAAGTTAATGTTCTCATTTTAAATGATGAATTTGATGGGAATAACATAACAATCAATATATGGGTGTCTACGCATGCAATCACTAAACACTGAACACATTGAATGGTTTCTATTTTTTCCATATTTTCCATGGCATTGTCTGTCGATCTAAATCCAATATTTGGCCAGGCATGGTGGCTCACGCCTGTAATCCCAGCACTTTGGGAGGCTGAGGCAGGTGGATCGCTTGAGTTCAGGAGTTGGAGACCACCCTGGCAAATATGGTGAAACCTCGTCTCTACTAAAAAACACAAAAATTAGCTGGGTGTGGTGGCAGGTGCCTGTAATCCCAGCTACTTGGGAGGCTGAGCAGGAGAATCACTTGAACCCAGGAGGTGGAGGCTGCAGTGAGCCAAGATCACACCATTGCACTTCAACCTGGGTGACAGAGTGAGACCCCATCACTAAATACATAAATAAATAAATAATAAATCTAATACTCTGTGGATTCATTCATTTATCTAACAAACAATTAATTAAATGTCAAAAGTGTGGCACTGGGCTAGATTCTGAAGTTACAAAAAGAATAAAGTGGAGTACCTCCACTTGAGGAGACACGCTGCCTAGAAAGAATGAAATGCAGGACAGTAGAGTCAGAGAAGGAAAAGAAAAAGCTGCCCAGAAAGAAAAAGGAGACACTTACCAAATGTTGAAACTCTGAAAATCGGCACTTCAATTTAATAAAGAACCAAACCAATGTTATTCAAAACCATTAGGTCTATTAGGTTCCATTTGACATCAACTAAATAAAACAACCCTTGGATAAACACACAAAAAGGTAACTTCCTCTACCTTTCGAGTTGCCAAAGGAAAATACCCCCAAGGCTAGTGACCTCATCAACAACGCATTTACTGTGACCAGTACTTCTCTGATCTCTTCTGCCTACAAGGAAAAGTGACAGTCTCAGAATGTTCTTTCTCTAGTTCTGGACCACTTCTCTTTCCTCCCAAACAATTACGTGTTCCTAAGGAAGACTCTCACTCTCTTACAAATACTTTGACTATGAAAAGGCATGCCATTTTTGCTATTTGGTTCTCCAGCATTAATAAGTAATGCTTCTGGTCTGACAACACCAAAAGTTATAATAACATTAATAATAACACTAATAATAACCAACAGTTAATAAGTATGTACTATGTGCCAAACACTGTCCTAACTGATTTACAGTTGGTTATAAATTTAGAGCTTATTTAATGTTTAAAACAACCCTCTGAAATAGACACTACTATTTTCTCCTATTTCCATATAAGGAAACTGAAGTTATAAGAAGTAATCTCACCCAAAATAAAAAGTGGTGGAGCCAAGATTCTAATTCAGAAGGTCTAAATCCACAGCAAACATTATGCTCTCACTAGGTGCTGTTGGTACTACACAGAGGTGGATCATAAAGGTTACTGGTGCTAATGTTTGCACCAAGAGCCCTGCTGCCTGACGTTATGTACTGAAGGCAGTAACATCATGACTACCACTGTTGATGTCACTGTTGGGTATAAAGAAATAACTGCTATTATCACCATAATCAAGCTGAATGAACCCCTCCCAATATCCTTCATTAAAGCAAAATATTGACTTTTTATAGATCTCTTTTTAACATATTAGGTTTCTGGATACCCCATATTTCCAGAAGAATAAGGTATTAATTTATAGGAGCTGTGTCAGAGGATGGAATGGTAGACATTGTTCTCTTGAGCCACTGGCCTATTGCTTTTGAACCAACTACCTTCCCTCAAATCTTACTTGTCCAAAGGGGAGTTTTCTCCCAGAGAGCTTCTCAAACTTCCTATAAACACTTCCTAGTGAATCCCCCATAATCACACTCTAGACAGTACAGGTGCTGCGGCCACCTCTAGAAGCAAAATGGGTCTCCCATCACTCTAAAATTTGGCTTTAATGTTGAGACTGAGGAAGCCACACACACACACACACACACACACACACACACACACACACACACACACACACCCCAAGAGGGTATGAAAAGGTTTATTACTCACACTAGTTTAAACAGAGCAGAGTAGATGCCCAAGATGTTCTGAAAATGGCTTGGGAAAACAGGAAAAGGAGACTGGCTTAAGCTTGTGTGGTTTTAACTTCTCTCTGGCACCAAAAGAGGGAGCACTCAGGCTTTCTTATGAGGGAAATGGGGCATACTGGGATTTGAAACTCACCAGCAACCAAACATCAAAAATGGAAGTAGGCTCATTATTACAAAAGATAGGCCTGAATCTTAGAATGAAACAGAACTTAGACTCAAGTTAGCAGCACTCTTCTGCTCAAGTTCACACAATTACTTTGCCAATGGAAAGCCAGAAGACCATATCTCCACCAATATACTCCCCAAAATCTGATCTATAAAAAGGTACAACTTGATGTATTTTTTATCATAATATCATTTATATTTCAGATACTTGGGACCGATATTATCTAATTCATAACATTTAATGTTTTGTATCATTTGATTATTTGTGGATGTAAAATTCCATTTTTTCATTAATGATAGAAATTCCCTTGACTTCCAACTTTGAAAGTCTCCTTCCACACTTCCTTCCCCTTACCACCTGCCAACTTCTAACCACTATATTTTATTTATCCATTATGCAGGTTGATACTATTGATATTCAATTTTGTTAACATCATTTTTCTGTGCTTTGACACAAGGATGACACTAAAAAATCAGAAGCATTTGTGTTATTATAAGTCAATATCATAAGGTGCAGAGTCAAGTCACGAGCTATGATTCCATTTTCTTCTCTGTGATTCCCACCTCTTATCCATTGTGATACTCGACTAGTCATAAGAAAAGTGAACCCTAATATAAACTATGGACTTTGGGTGATGATAATATGCAAGTTCATCAATTCTAACAAATTAAAAAGTAAACGTCCATTTTTAAACAAACAAAGAACATTTACACAGGTTTTCCTTTCTTACATTCAAAATTATGTCATAGGTTAGCTAGTTTCATATTGGAATAACATGTCTTTACATTTTTTGTTTGTATAGTTTTGGGACCTTGAGATTTCCTTTCCTTATTTCTCGTTGGGAAAGGAAGTTACATACAGTACCTTCTTCACCACACCCCTGATGCTTTCCAATTTCTTACTCATTCTTTCCATTGTTTGGAATTTATTTATCTTTTTTTCTTGAATCCCTCTAATCTCCTGAATTGGTTGTTTTATATTCAGAACATGCTTCTTACACAACTCTTCTTTATTCTGAAGTTTGGAGTTTTCTATTTCTATTCTGGTTTTGTTGTTGTTGTTGTTGTTTGTTGTTGTTTGTCTTTTTGATTTTTGTTTTTGCCTTATTCACATACTCAAATTCTTGCATCTTCTCCCTCTATTCTGAGAAATCCTTATTTTCCATGAAGCCCTTCTTCCCAAAGCCCTCCATTTTCCTGATTCTGTCTGGACTGATTGCTCTGAAGGCCTACTGCTCATCTCAAATCTTGGGACTACTACTCATTCCTCTCAAGAATTAGAGGCATTGTTTTTGTGTACTCATTCCCTTTCTTTGCTTACCTTCTTGATTTTATGGCTTAAAACCCTAAATAATTTTCCTAAGAAAGACAGCAGGTGAAGTCAATTTTTCTGAGTCCATGCATATATGAAAAATGCCTATATTCTTCCCTCACACTTAATTAAAACCTTGATTAGGATGGTAGAGACTATTAGTAGTCTCCTAGTATCTATTCTCCCTTCTTCAATAGTAATAAAATATTTAGCTGGTCACAGGTCTGTCCAGAATAAAGACATTGCCCAGCTTCCCTTGTAAGTAAGTATATGTGGCCAATAAAATATGAGAAGCAGTATAACGTGGTAGCTTCCCACAATTATCCATAAGAGACACCTCATGCGATCCACTTAAACTCTTCTGTGTCGATACTTTAGATGGGGCCTGGAACATGAATGTCACTATCTTCATGATAGAATTAAGCTTGGGTCTCTGAGCTGAATGCCATAGCAGCCCTGGAACGCTTACCAGAGCTTGTGCATAGAAAGAAATTTTGAACTTATTCATGTCAATGTTATTTTAGGGTTTCTGGCAAAACTACAGGTAATTTCAGGTAAAACAGGTCGGGTATAGAAACCTATGGTGAAATAATTTTCACAAAGTATACACAAAGCATTATTCTCCTGATTTCTACTATCCAGTGTTGTGGATATAAAAAAAAATACAGTTCTCCTTCTTTATATATAGCCTGTTTTTTGTTCTTGTTTTTGTTTTTTCCTATCAGAGATCAAAGGAAGTTATCGGAGCCTCTGAAATTCACAAGGGGTCTTTTTGTCATTCTTTGTGATTTGCACTCCGTAGGCCCTTGCAATTTTAAAACTCATCTCTCCATTCAGCTATGAGATTCTTGTTTGGTTTTTAAGCTCACTTCTTCCTCTTTATTTTGTCGGTTCTCTGTTTCTAAAAAAGATCCTTTTTCTACTAGCTGGATGCTAGACCTCCTGATTTGAGCCTCTGAGCTTCATACTTTCTTGCATAATTTACCTTTTTACATTTTCTCTGTGTCCAATCCTTCCACTGAATTCGAAACATGACAACCATTTTCTAATTTCCAAGAGTTCTTCTTTTGTATTCCCTAATTGTTCATAGTATCCTCCTTTCTTGTAATTATGCAATTTCATCTTGAACCACTCTGTATTTGTTTTCTACTGTTAAGAGAAAAACTTCAGCCAAATTAAATTTAAAGGAGTTTAATTGAGTAATGAATGATTCACAATCGGACAGCCCCCAGAATCACAGCAGATTCACAGAGACTCCAGCCCAGCCACATGGTGGAAGAAGATTTAACCGACAGCAAAAGGAAAGTGATGCACAGGAAATGGAAGTGAGGTACAGAAACAACTGGATTGTTTACAGCTTGGCATTTGCCTTATTCAAACATGGTTCAAACAGTTGGCTACGTTTGACTGGCCAAAACTCAGTCATTGGCACAGGCGTGGGCTATGGTCGGTTTACACCTCCACTTATTATAGTTCATGATGTACAGGAAAACCTTTAGGCCGAACTTAAATATGTAAGGAGGTAGCTTTAGGATAAACTTGATTTAACACTACAAATATATATTAATACCCCAAACTTACTGGTTTAAAACAACAAACATTTATTATCTCCAAATGTTCATGTGCCAGACATCCAGGAGCCACTTAGCTGGGTGGTTCTGGCTCAGGGTCTCTCACAAAAATGCAATTAAGACGTCCACCAAAGCTGCAGTCATCTCACTGAAGATCAGTTCCAAGCTCACACACGATTATTGGCAAGATTCAGAAGCTGTGCTTCCAAGCTCACTCATGTGACTGCTGACAAGTCCCAGTCCTCTCCACATGGAGCCCTTCTCAACACATAGATGCTGGCTTTTTTCTTTCCAAGGATGCCTCAAGACGTGGCAGCTGGCTTCCCCTAGAGGAGTAAGCATTAAGAAGAAGAGAGGAAAAGGAGGAAAGGAGAGAGAAAGAGAACCCAAGATGGAAGCTCTAGTCTCTTAGTATTTTTACAACCTAATATTCCAAGGGACATCCTATTACTTCTGCCATATTCTATTTGCTCACTGGAGATAATTCACTAAGTCCAGGGCACATTCAAAGTGAGAGAAATTAATGGGAAGAGTATCAAAAATTCTGTGGACATATTTTCAAAACATATTCTCTAGGATGCTAATTAGCTTGCTTTTTTAGGCTCTTTCATGATCTCTAAATTCCCTCTGTTTCTTTCTGAGTAAGTTCTGCTTTCATCTTTACCTTTCTTGGCCATGCTACAGGCTTTCTTCAAATATACAGAAAATCTTAGTTGTTCATTTAAATAACATAATGAGAAAATGTCAGGGTTGACTGGGCTTGCATATGGGTAGATTTGGGACTGGTAGGTTTTAGGGTGAGTAATCAGAGAACTAATTGGTTCCTAATTCCAAAACGAAGAGGGCTTTATGGGGAGACATAGTCCCTAAACTACCCGCCTTAGTTCTTCCTTCACCATTAGTTTCGAGGTTTTAGGAAAGTTTCTGTCAAAATACTTCCTTGGAGGTAAATGCCCGGCCACAAACCATATAAAGGTACAAAAGGGGAATGAAGAGATTAATTCATCTATTCATAGACTTTCAACGAATCACTCTCTTTTCAGATTTGCTGTGGCCCATGCCATTTCCGGTTCTGGCCAGCTGGAGATGACAGTGCAGAGATTTAGCAATGAGCCCTTTTCCTCCCATTTCCTAACATCAGACTGCTCTAGAGCTACAAAATTGTTAAAATGAGAGTCTAGAACCTGTTGCCAATTACTTCTGTAATCTAAGCAAATAATTTTCCTATACTTGTCTTATCTAGAAAATCAGAGTAATGGACTAGCAACTTAAAGTTTCTTAAAATAATGGTAATTCAATTCACTTAGGATTTGTAACTCTGCTTACAGCTACATTTCATATATTTTAAACATAAAAAAATCTAGTACATGGTAAAAAATTAAAATAAACTCAAGCTGAGAATGCATAGGAGAGTTAAGAATAAGCTTCCAAAATGGATGGTTCTGTATTTTTTCAAGATAAGAAATATTGCCAGAGCCCACCTATACTTGTTGATAGAACTTCTGTGTGATGAGGATTGAGATAAACAGAAAGATTTTTCCCCAAATGAGACCAGTGTTTACAGTATTTCAGTCATGTAAAAAGAAAATATGAAGCTGAGACATGCCATCATTTTCTCTTGGGATATAGCTTGGACTCTGGACTTCAAAAGATTCTGCAAGAAGTAGTTCTGGGTACCCTACACTGATGTTATTAGACACTAGTTTCTGAGAATGTATAGTTTGGCTATACTTTCTAGCTCCTATTCTGATTGACTTTCCTTTTCTAAAGTTCAAGAAGATATCCTTTATTGTCTAAATTATGAGTAATTAAAAATCACCCAAGTATTTTTTTTCAAGATGGTGGATTGGAAGCAGTATTGGCATGCCTCTCCAACTTGGAAAGACAGGATACTGTGTAGAGATTCACACTGTGAACCTTTTTCCAAGAAGTCACACAGGAACTTAACAGGAAAACTGAAAGAATCCACAGACCCTTTGAAAGAAGTGGCAGCCTGCAGCTTACTCTGTGAGACAGGCAAAAAACTGTAAGTCCTCAGAGTATAAGAGGGGGAGAGTCTGCCTCCAGAACACACATCCCCACTGAATCTGAAAATCCAGACCATGGGAGAAGGCCTTAACCCTACCCAGAGCTGGAACTGATTTAGGGAACAGCGAAAAATATAACAGTAGAAGCAGCAGTGGGAAGTGCCTTGCAGGCATTCTCAGTCACCAGGGTGGACCAAGCGAAGTCATTTCTTATTATATCTCACAGGGGACCTTGGGGAAGTCAGCCAACTAGCTCAGGCAGGGGTCATAGGGTAAAAGAAGCTCCCAACTGAATTTTGTGATATAACTTCAAGTGGAGATAAACTCCATTGACCAGAACTGGGGTGGAGGGAGGGAAGGGGGTGCAGGTGGGAAGTGTGCTGCAGACACATGCACAGGAGCTGGGCACCCGGCCTTGTGGCCTTGCAGGCAGATGGGGAAGGCCATGGCCTGAAAGTAGTAGCTGTTGTCTATGCTGGGAAAGCTTATGGCATGGGGCAGGTCTGAATTCTATGTGCAGACTGCCTGGATCTTAATCCAGTGCTGTTAGCAGAGCAATGCAGGAGTGCTATCTGTCCTGCCAACTGCATGGGAGCTGGGTGAGGCTCATTGCCACTTGCTACTTCCCATTCCCTGTGCAAACTCCTATGCAGCAGAGGCAGTTATACTGTCCTCCAGAACATGACCTCAGCAGCCTGAAAACCACTCCTGACCCTCACAGGGTCCACAGCTTGCCCCTCTCAACAAGAGTCAGGGTGCAGACCCACCTTACCCTGCCCCACCTGGCTATGTCCCTCTACCTTCCCTAGTAGCTTAACACAAAGGTCAGAAACCTGGGAGCTTTATAGCACAGCCCATTGTCAGAGAAACCAGAATACTCCCCCTGGGCAACTTAGGGCAAGCTCGAATCCCACTGCTATTAATACTACCACAGCTGGTACTCTTTTGCAAGCACCACCTTCTGGCTGCAGGCCAACCGACATAGTTCATTACAGATCTCTAAGTAGAGTAACACTGCACTCAGGAAAAAGAAAATGGCTGCGTGACCTCAGCTATCACCACTGCTTGCAACATCCTGGTAAACCATGGTCCTGAATCTGCCCGTGTGACAAGTTCACTACAATTATAACCAGCATTCAAAAAAGCCAGGACACTAAGCTTATCTACAACCGAGGATTCTCACAAAGTCTACATCAGTCATGACAGCTATGCAGGTACTCACTGCTGGGAAACCTGAAGACAGGTCACAACACAGGATCCCTTGCAGACATTTCCCAGCACCAGCCCAGGTTGTGGCAGCCCCATTTTATGGCTAGACCCAGAAGAGCAATAGCAATCAGTGCAGTCTGGTTCTCAGAAACTCCTACTTCTAGGAGAAGGGAAAGAACACAACATCAAGGGAACAAACCATGGAAGAAAAGAATCTGGACAGCAGGCATTGAGTCCTAGATCTTTCCACTGGTGGGAAGTTTCTTACAGCAGAGACACAATTGTAGTATTGGGTGCAGCACGCAGTCCGCACCTCTACCCCACCCGTCAGGCAGCCTTTGTGCTCATGAATGGTCTTGGAGAAGGGGTCCTTTTTCCCTTCTTGTCCATCACTGCAGACACAACTGGGGCTTTTCCCATGGGAGCTCAGCATGAATACACCTATAGACAACTTTCCTGGAACAATTTAGGGTGATTGCATCCCCATAAAAGGAGGCCTGCCCAGGTTCATGCTTGCATGAGAGGTAGAATCACAATTCCTCTCTACTCAGAAGATCAACCTTTTTTCAGATGAAAAGAGGTGCCTGTCTGATCTGAATAAACAGAACACTGGGACAAGAGTGAGGCTGGGAGGTGGATACCTTTCCTGCTGGCCAGGCATGGGGGCTGAGGTAGCTCCCACCCTTCACCCTGATGACACCTCAGTGCATCTAACTGACAGTTCCCCCAGGCACGTTCTTCAAGGCTGAGACTTGTGCCCACCATTGGGTATTGTATCTACCCACCTGCTTTTACTACAACTGGTGCCTACCCAGGGATACCTCCCCTACTGGTCTGAAGCCTGAGCCATCAACTCAGTAAAAAAATATTAGCAAACAATTAAATAAAGAAGTGCACAACATAGGCGAATGAGATATGTTTCAATGATCCTTGACATTCCAATCAGATAGGAGGCAGTGCACTTGCCCACACATCAAGTATATAACTACCACATCAGCATCTAAGAAAGCCAGCACACAAAGACTTGCTATAAACAAGGAACTCATACAGAGTCTTCACCTCTAAAAGCACCAAAAATCAAATTAGGCAGTAATAAACTATAAACATTAAAGTCACATCCATAAGAAGGAAAAATATTTTTAAAAACACAGTCAAATCAAAAATAAATTCAAGACCAATTTGAAGAAATAGTCTATCCAAATGAGGAGAAATCAGAAAAGTAATTCTGGTAATATGACAAAACAAGGTTCTATGACACCCCCAAAAGATCATACTAGTTCCCTAGCAATGTATCCAAACCAAGAGGATATCTTTGAAATACCAAATAAAGAATTCAGAAGGTTGACTATTAAGCTACTCAAAGAGATATCATAGAAAGGAGAAAACCAACATAAATAAATTTAAAAAGAGCAAGTGAGGATATGAATGAAAAATTTTCCAGAGAGATAGATATCATAAAGAAAAAACAATCACAACTCCTATAAACACACATTTAGGGAAATACAAAATGCAGTGGAAAGTTTCAATAGACTCAAACAAGTAGAAGAAAGAATTTTAGAGCTTGAAGACAAGGCTTCTGAATTAACCCAATCAGACAAAGATAAAGAACAAAGAATCAAAAGAAATGAACAAAGTCTCTAGGAAATATGGGATTATGTAAGATGGCCAAACCTAAAAATACTTGCTGTTCTTAAGGGAGAAGAGAAGGCTAAAAGTTTGGAAAACTTATTTGAGAAAATAATTGAGGAAAAGTTCCCCGGCCTTGCTGGAGATTTAGATTTCCAGATACAAGAAGCTCAAAGAAATTCTGGGAAATTCAATGCAAAAAGGTTATCACCAAGGCAAGGAGTCATCTGGCTATGTAAAGTCAAGATGAAAGAAAGAATTCTAAGAGCTGTGAGTCAAAAGCATCAAGTAACCTATAAAGGAAAACCTATCAGACTAACAGAAGACTTCTCAGCAGATACCTTACAAGACAGAAGGAACTGTGGTCCTCTTTAGACTCCTTAAATAGAATAAATGTCAGCCAAGAATTTTGTATCCAGAAAAACTAACCTTCATACATGAAGGAGAGATAAAATCTTCTTCAGGCAAACAAATTCTGAGGGAATTTGCCACTACCAAACCACCACTATAAGAAAGGTTAAAAGGAGTTCTAAATCTTCAAACAAAACCTCGATACACACCAAAATAGAATCTCCTTAAAGCATAAAATTCACAAGGCCTATAAAACAATAACGCATGGGGAAAAAAGTACTTAGGTAACAACTAACATGATAAATAGAACAGCACCCCACATCTCATATTAACATTGACTGTAAACAGCCTAAGTGCTCCACTTAAAAGATGCAAAGTGGCAGAATGGATAAAAAACCACAAACTAAATATCTGCTGTCTTCCATACTCATCTAACACATAAGATCCATATAAATTTAAGGTAAAGGACTGGAAAAAGATATGTGACACAAATGGAAACAAAAAGTGAGCAGGTGTAGCTATTCTTATGTCAGAAAAATACATACTTTATTTCCCTGAAACTGCTCTGATCTCCCTAATGAGGCCTTACCACCTCCACATGCTGACTGGGTGGAGAAGCTAGATTAAACTCAATCTAGTAATCTGAGACCATTCCATAATTTAAATTGGATTGCCCCTGATTTTAGGTCCTGGCTGCAAACATTAATTGACTGTTTCATCTTGAACATGTCACTTTACTTGTAAGGACATCAGATTTCCCATCTACAAGTGTTAAAAATAAGTAGACATCCCTTCGTGACAAAAATTTTCAAATAACTGGGTATAGAAGAAGAACATACCTCAACATAATAAAAGCCATATATGACAGAGTTATAGCCAGTATCACAGTGAACAGGAAAAAAAAAACTGAAAGCCTTTCCCTTATGACTGGGAGCTAGACAAGTTTAAGCTCAAGGATGTGGGCCACATTAACTTTGGAATTCCAGTCCAATTTAAAGATATAGACTTCTTTTCTGCCAATTTATACATAAGTGCATTAATTGGCCAGGCTGTTTCACAAAGCAACTTCCCTAGGAAATGTCATACTTTAAAGCAATAATATTTGTAAAAGACAAAAAGCACATATAAGGTAAAAGGATCTGTCCAACAAGAAGATATTATAATCCTAAATTTATATGCACCTAACACTGGAGATCCCAGATTTGTACACCTTTGTACCACAATTACTACTAGACCTAAGAAATAAGATAGAAAGCAACAAAATCACAGTAGGGCATTTCAATATTGACAGCACTAGACAGATCATCAAGACAGAAAGTCAACAAAGAAACAATGGACTTAAAGTACACCCTAGAACAAATGGACTTAACAGGCACCGTCTTAGTCCATTCAGGCTGCAATAACAAAATACCATAGACTCGGTGGCTTATAAACAACAACAAAGATTTATTTCTCCAAGTTCTGGAGGCTGTGAAGTCTAAAATCAAGGCACCAGCAGATTCAGGGTCTGGCGAGGGAGGGCCTGTTCCTCATAAATGATGCCTTCTTTCTGAATCCTCGCATGGTATAAGGGTCAAACAAGCTAACTCAGGCTTCTTTTATGAGGACACTAGTCCTTTTCATGAGGGCTCCACCCTCATGATACCTAGTCACCTCCCAAAGGCCTCACTTCTTAATACCATCACACTGGGGATTAGTTTCAACAGATGAATTTACTTGTCAGGGGAACCCAAACATTCAGAGCATAGCAAGAATCTAGATGGAATAAATGGAGAGGTATAGCATAAGTGATCTTAGAGAATCACAGAAGGAAGTGAGTTGCTGTCTACAACTTTGCTGGTCTCTGATGCCGAGTGGCTAGAATGGTTTGCAACCTAGAATTGTGGGTGGCCTCTGAAGTGTGGTCTTAGGCATGAATGTACTGGTATCCACTGTTGGAGCCCAGAGTTACAGCAAATTGTCCCCTCTTCAACATCTCCACCTGTGGCTGCCTCTTTATCTTGATCTCAGTTTCCTAGAGGATACTTTCATTTCCTTATATCCCCAAATATCCCCTCACAGGGCACTCTGGAATTCCTGGTTTACCTGCTGCTATGATCTGAAGATTTTGAGTCCCTCCAAAACTCATATGTTGGAACCTAATCTTCAATGTAATAGTACTAACAGCAGGAGCCTTTAGGAGGTAGTTAGGTCCTGAGGGCTCTACCCTCCTGAATGGGACGAGTGCCTTTATCAAAGAGGCTTAGGGGCACCTGTCTGTCTCTTCCTCCGTTTGAGGACACACAGACATCATCATCTATGAAGAACGAACCAGACACCGAATCCACTGGTGCTATGATCATAAACTTCCTAGCCTCCAGAACCGTGAGCAATAAACTCACCAATGAAAAAGAATGAATTACTTCTATAGGAAGTGACTTATTTGAATCTTGCAGATACTATGTTGAGCAAAGGAAGTCAGATGCAAATGAATGCATGATGATTCATTCCATTTATATTCAATTCAACAATAATCCTTACAAAATTATGGTGATTCAAGTTGGAATAGTGGCTACCTCAGGGGCAGCGGGTTGTAGGGGGGTGGGTGGCACTGGAGTTTGACCCAGAAGAGGCTTGAGGAAGCTTCTAAGGCAATCAAAATGTTCTGTCTCTTGATCTTGGTAGTGGCTACAGGAGTGTGTTAATTTTATGAAATATCATTGAGTATACATATAACATCTATAGACTTTATACACTTTATACCACAATTAAAGTTAAAAACCTAACAAGTCATAATCATCCCCAGAGGAAGCATGAGTGAACACAGTAGAGAAAACAGATTCTCTAACTGAAACTAAGGTGCAAAAGGGGTTTGTCTGGGCTTCCTGTAGCAGGATCTATGAGGCACACGGTGAACACCATAGATTCGGCTAGTCTTCTTCACTGTTTAGATGAAGAAACTGACTTCCCGGAGAAGGGTGTGCCTCAGAGGAAGGGGATGGCAGAGCTAGGAGTGAAAATGAATCCAGCGGAAATAACCACATTAGAAACCCACTACACATACAATGAGAAAAGAAAAAACACTATTATTGTCATTGTGACCTGAAACAAGGCAAAATGAAAGCAAAGAAGACCAGATAAGTAGGTTTCCTTCTGGCAATCTGTTCACGTCCTGGGTGACCTTTGTCCTCCTCAATTACATTTGCACTGCAAAAAAGCCTCATTTATTTCATTTTCTCTAATTGGGAGCTGACGATAATTTAGAAGTTACCTGTAACACCAAACTTTTCTTCAAAGATTAGGTAAATTAGCAATAGAAACACAATTAAAGGCAGTATGCTTGCAATATTAAAACAAAAAAAAGCAGATTTCAAGCAATACTCGGCACCTTAGAAATGCCTGAAGAAACCCTGATCATCGCTCAAGACCAGGTTCAAAGGCTGCCTGTTTCCTGTGACTTTCGTTGAAGACACCAGAGGAAACTGACAGCTACCTCGCCTGTACTCCTCAGCAATTGGATCCTACCTCTACTAAAACCTTTTTGGCATTATTGTCTAATTATTTGTTTAAATCTTGACCTCTGCTACGTCGTGAGCTCTTAGAAATCCTTGGTCCGGTCAACCGGGTGTGACTAGAGCAGGGGACATGTCTGAGGGTGGGGGCATCTGGAGACGAGCTTGAGATGAGAGTTGAAGCTAGACTTTAAATTCATATATAAAATCTCAGCATTTGCAAAAACAACTTGACACAGAAGAGTGTCAGAAAATAACAAGTAGGTTGGGCGTGGTGGCTCTTGCCTGTAATCCCAACACTTTGGGAGGCTGAGGCAGATGGATGGCCTGAGGTCAGTAGTTCGAGGCCAGCCTTTCTAACATGGTGAAACTCCGTCTCTACTAAAAATAAAAAAATTAGCCAGGTGTGGTGGCGCATGCCTGTAGTCCCAGCTACTCAGGAGGCTGAGGCAGGAGAATCACTTGAACCTGGGAGACGGAGCTTGCAGTGAGCCGAGATTGTGCTACTGCAATCCAGACTCCAGCCTGGATGACAGAGGAAGACTCCATCTCAAAAAAAAAAAAAAAAAAAGAAAGAAAAGAAAATAACAAGTAGTAAAGTAGTACCTTGTGGCTAGAATATGGGACTAGGAGGAAGACAGGAGGAAGGGAGTAGTATCGAGGTAGTCAAGGACAAGAACAGAAAGGACCTTGTAGGAAGTCACTTTAGGGCTTTATTCTGTAGTAAGTGGGAATCCATTAAGGCTTCTGAAGCAGGGAAATGAAATGATTTGATTTCCGTTAAAAAGGTTACCTCTTGCTGCAGTAAGGATCATGAAGTGAGAGCAAGCATAGTGGACACAGGGAAGGCAGTAGGGGTCACTGAGAGTGTAAATTAGGGTGCAGGGAGTGAAAATGGGGAGCAAGAAATTCTATTCAAGTGATGTTTAGGAGGTGGAATCACTAAGACAAGGTTTCTGTCTTAAATGACTTGGGTAGCGGCTACCACTTTCAGTTGACTGACAACTCCTTAAATTGCACATGTACAAGTCGAGTATTTATTAAATAAAAACTTTAGCGATGAATCAGATGACTGGAATTTGTCTTTGTCACTAAGTCACTATTTAGTTTCAACCACATCTACCCAAAGGCACAGTCTTTCTCTAACCATGACCACCCCATGCCCAGAAGGTCAGATCCAAACCTTCCATCTCAACAATAACAGCATCTGCCAAACTCCCAGGATTGCTTCCTCTCAGTGCCCCTCAGTTTGAATCTAGCCCTCCTTTACTCCATGCTGAATATACAAAGATTCTCTCAAAGAGCTTCCAGGCTATTGAGGAGAAAGATAGGTAAATTAATCAGGTATGGTGCATCAATCTATCCAGTTTACGAGGATAGTGACAGTGTCAATCTGTATTAATTGCTATCTTGTGCTTTGAAGAGTGGATGTACAAAGAATAATATAGCTCAGGCCCTGTAGTGAGAGGTTCTCAGTCTCCTGGTACCATTGATTCCATTTCAGGTTTCCACCACTTCCCACACCTCTGCCATTAAACTTTCAACAAGCTTTATGACCATGCCTTGCTAAGACACATCTTACACATCTAAGGTACTCTATTTTTGACATCAGAACTCAGGGTAATACAAGATGAGAAAATGCAAGACATTTAAAGGAAACTTGACATCAGAGCAAGTGCATAGAAGTAACAGTCTCATAAAATATTCATTAACTATGAACATACTCTGGGACTCTTATTCTGTCTAGAAAAGGTGAGTCTCTGCAGAAGCATTTCTCCCTCAGAATTTTCTGCTATAGAAATATCTGAGCAATTTGTGTGCCTTTCCAGTGGTCAAGAGATATATTACTTGCCTCAGACACTCTCTAAGGCTTCTGACCTTGCCTGAGAGTTGACGGTTCTGTCTGCAGGCTTGCAACATTTCCAAAAATTGAGAGAGACTCTCCAAAACTAGATTGAATTTTAGGACCTGTGGACATTGTTTATTGGTACAGATTGGTGGCATTCAGGATAATGTCTCTGCCAGGTCCATCGATTTGGCTTATGTCACTAAACAATTAGGGTATAACAAATTGTCTTGGTTCTGTGTACTCAACCCAAGGAATTCTATTCTATTTGTACCTTAAAATTAAACCTGACTAAGAAGTCTCAGTGGAGGACTAGAAAGCACTAAAAATATATTATTATCTACAAACAGACATGAGGCCTCTTCCTGGACCTTCTTAGCAAGGATTCTCTAGAGAAACAGAACCAATAGGAGATATAGTTAGGTCGATATCTAGAGAGATATATTACATATATTATATATTGTATAATATATCTATCTAGATCTAGATATATTCAATAAAATATATATATATATATATATATAGAGAGAGAGAGAGAGAGAGAGAGAAAGATAGGTAGATATACCTATATAGATAGAGATAGAGATATCCATACATACAGACAGAAAGATTGATTGATTGATTATGAGACTGTGTGATTGTGGAGGCTGAGAAGTCCTGAGTTCTACAGTTGGCAAGCTGGGGACCCAAGAGATTCCATGGCATAGTTCCAGCCTGAGTCCAAATGTCTAAGAAGCAGGAGAGTCAGTGGTACAAGTACCAGTCTGAATCTGAGTCTGAAGGAAGGAAACCAGTATCCCAACTCGAAGACAGTCAGGAAGAGGGAGAGTGAATTCTCTCTTACTCAGAGTTTTGTTCTACTCAGATCTTCAACAGATTGAGTGAGGCCCACCCACGTCAGTGAGAACAATCTACTTTACTCAGCCTACAAACTAAAATATTCATCTCCCCCACAAATACTTTCACATACACATCCAGAACAATGCTTGACCAAATATCTGGGCATCCAATGGTCCAGTCAAGTTGGCACATAAGATTAATCGTCACATGGATCATCATATTCCCTCAGCTCTAGCATATCCTACTGGGCTTTCTAATCACCTTCAGCTAAGGTTTGGCTCTTAGCCCTTGGCAGGTGCTCAAAAAGCATATGAAGAATGCCATCTTCTAATAAGGTAAATGATCATTGTTTTCACATACTGTAAGTGAAAAATCAGTACCCACACACTGAGTTGATTTCAAATGCATATACAGAAAACAGATGGCCATACACTAGGGTGGGAGACATCCTAAACAAACCAATAATAAGGATAGCTACCATGTATCTGGAGTTTCTATTTTATTTTATTTATTTATTTTGAGATAGGATCTCTCTCTGTCACCTAGGCTGGATTTCAGTGGTGTGATGTTGGCTCACTGCAGCCTTCACCTCCCAGGCTCAAGCAAACCTCTCACCTCAGCCTCCCAAGTAGCTGGGACTACAGGTGTGTGCTACTACACTCCGCTAATTTTTGGATAGATAGAATTATTTATATATTTATTAGTTTTTATTTTACTTTTTGTAGAAATGGGTTTTCCATATTGTGAAGGCTGATCTCAAACTCCTCGGCTCAAGCAATCCACCTGCCTCAGTCTTCCAAAGTGCTGGAATTACAGGCATGAGCCACCACGCCCTAATGTTTTTAATGTGCTAGGCATATTTTCTTATGTAATACAACAACCTGGAGCTGCCGTATTATTATTATCTTCATTTCATGCATGAGGAATTGGAGACCCAGTGAGGTGAGGTGACCTGCTGTCACATAATAGCCAAGTGGCAGGGCTGCAATTTGAATCCAGGACTGGAGATTCCAGAGCCTCTTAACCACTCTAATTTATAGCCTCCTAACAGGAAATTTAGCTTTGTATAATTTAAAAACCATAATCAATAAAATTCAAGAATCCAGTGAGCCAAAAACAGTTCAAAGATAATCACGGTACACAGGGGAGAGCCATAACATTACCAGACAATGGACTGGTGATGTTCCATGATTGATATAATGAAGTAAACATGAAACAAACATTGAGAATAAAAAAAGTCAGTTTGATTGTGGCTCACGCAGAAGTCATGTGACTTCTTACCCTGCTCTGGCATTTTCAGCTTCTCTCATCTGTGCTCACTTTTGCCTGGACCTGACAGTTTGGTCCCATTCAGTTTGCATACAGGTCTTTATAACAGAGGAGAAACAATGCACGTGTATCTCTTCCCACATTCTTTCAGTGGGGACTTTGGTCTCATTCCCAGTGCTGACTTCTGGGCCCCTGAGTTACTGCCCCCACCCCACTCACGAAGCACACATCTCCCCACCCAGTAAGCCCCGGTTCCCATAATTGGGTTTCTCCTTGCTCCCTGGTGTCACTGAACTGCTACCACAGGGACTGATGTGCCACTCTAACTCCTTTCTAAGGGTGGCAAGCAGAGAGTGGCTCTCTGGCTGCCTCTTGCCAGACCACTGTTCTATAATCAAGCTAAATTCCTGGGGCCCACAGCAGTAGAAGAATGTGAGGATTAAAATGAAAAGATTTTAATTTTAGTGCTGGAAAGGAGTTTAGAGATTGTCTCCTTCAAGGTAGACATTTAAATGGAAAAAGTGAGGTGCAGTCAGGTGCCCAAGGCAAAGGTGCATGGGAACAGGCCATCCCCCGGTATCTAGATTATGCCGAGGAGGTAGCTGACTACAACAGTCCCAGTCTCCTTCACTGAAAACAATGGATTTGCATCTCAGAATTGCAGCATTTGCTATCTTGAGTTTACATCAGTTCCTTCAATAATCAGCACAGATGAGATCAATACTTGAGAAGACCATATGGGTAAGATAAACAGAGAGAAAAAGCCAAGTTAAAGTGGGCTGTCTTATGTAAATTGCTCTCTCCCAAACGAAGGATTTCCAAAACACTCAGGTAGTCAATACAGATTAAGCAAGATGCAGTATATTGTTAATACAAAGGCTGCTCAAAGTGATGAAAAATAACCTTGAAGCAAATTTTGTCACGAAGAAATCATGACAACCTTGGTCATGAGAGAGGACCTATGCTGTTTAGAAAAGCAAACAACAAATGGATTATGACAAGTGGAAAGTAGCAAAAATGTTTAAAAATTCAGAATCAGATATAGATTTATTATCTCTCTGTGATAAATGCTGAGGAAACAATGCTGAGTGCCTCTAAACGCTGCATTCATGGTTAACTATTCTGAAGAAAGCAGGCTCTGCAATTACACCGCATGCATTTGAATCTTAGCTTGGGAAAGAGATTTAAACCCTCTGAGCCTTGTGTTCCTCATCTTTGAAGGAGGGATAACAATAATGATGAGGATGATGATTATGACAATAATACAGGCTAGGTTGCTAAGATTGTATAATATAATAGATGAATGTACCTAATACAAGGTTTAATCAGGAGCTCACTGAATGGTAGGCTCTTATGCCTAAATTATAGTTAATGGTTTCTGATCAAAGCTAAACCAAATATCTCAAGATTCTTTGGCAGGACAAATGCAGCACAGTGTCCCTAATTATTGGAAGGAGAACAGACACTCCAGGTCAACATTGCCTTAAAGATGACCAAGAGTACACTCTCCACTTGCAACCTCACTCCTGATTGTTTCTCTAAACAAATGTCAAATGTAATGTAGGCCTTTTTTGCTTTAATCGTGTGGTGTTCAGTGCAGTCAATGTGGTAGAAAGATTCAGAGTTAGAGGATACAAACCTAAATTCCAACTTCACAGCTTACTAATTGTAAATGGTAATTTCAAACAAGCAACTAATATAACAGAAATTCCATTTCCTCAGTTAACATGGCAAATTCGATAAATGGAAGAGAAAATACATTGGCTACTGGAAAGCATAGTATTTGTGAAGGAGCCATAGTAAATGGTGAGGATGCAAGGGCATCATTATATTCACCATAATAACTTTCATCCCTGAATCACTACCATTGGCCTAAAGAGAGTAACTGCCCTATCCAACTCCGCCCCATCGTATCCTGCTGAAGTACTGATATTCATTCTAATTGACCTGTCTATGGTCTTATGTCCAACTCTTAACCAATCACTGTGGTCAGGAGAATGATTTTTGCTGATTTGTGTAGGCCTGGGACACATGACCAACTTGAGAAGGTGAAGATGTGAGTGAATAATGGTCTCCAAAGATTTCCACATTCTAAACCCTGGAACCTGTGAACATGTTATCCTGCATGGCAAAGGAGATTTTGCAGTTGTGACTAAATTAAAGATCTGAGCCCATGAGATTTGGATATTTTTAAAATTATTCTCAAGATGGGCCCAACGTAACCACAAGTGTCCTTGAAAGTGGAAGAGAGAGGAAGAAGATGAAATCAGAGTGATACAATAAGAGAAGGATTTGATTCTCCATTGAAAGCTTTGAAGATGGGGGAAGAGGCTGTAAGCCAAAGAATGCAAGCAGCCTCTAGAAGCTGGAAAAGGCAAAGCAACGAATTTTCCCCTAGAGCCTCCAGAAGGAAAATGGCCCTGCTAACACCTTGATTTTAGCCCAATGATACTGCTGATCTTCAGGACTGTAAGATAGTAAGTGTATATTGTTTAAGCCATAAAATTTGTGGTAATGCGTTACAGTAGCAAAAGGCAACTAAAACATCATTCTACGCTTTCTGAAACAATGGTGAAGAATCTGCTAGTTTAGATCCAAATTTTCAGTGTCTGACCACCACTGAGGAGGGCGAGTCCCAGCCCTCAGAGTTCAGAAATTGAAGGTTTACATGAACAAAATTCTTATTTTCCTGGTAGATAGTTCAACTACCTAAAATGATTCTTACCAGGGAAAGAAAAACCACAGTCTGAGGAGGATAAGAACAGGGCTGCATGGCCTGCTGCACTGAAAGCAGGCTGGAGAAACGGCCCAGATATTGCCCTCTGACTCTGCCAATGGAGAAAGTGGAAAAATAATACATGTGATTGCCACAGGGAAAGCAGGTACTGACTTCTCCTGCCATAAACTCTCCCTGTGGGCTGTTGGTGTGGTGCAATTGACAATACATCCAGCAGTACTTTGTGGTGCCACAGGTAAAGATGGGTTTTGAGCCAACAGGCAGAGTAGAGAACACAGTTCATCCCAGGAAATTCAGGACACTCATCATACACAGAGTTGTCAGCTTTCCAAGTCAGCCATCCCCTTCCATCTTTTTTCACGGTTATAACTGGGACAGCCTAACATGGGCCGTGCCAAAGTCTGCAAGATCCATACCCCAGGGGCTTGAAATGTTTTTGAGACACAAAGGGTCAAGTGTGAGCAATACAAGCTACAGCCGGAGAAACTTCACTGTCCAATAAAAGAAAATCAAGAGTCACTCTTTGTTTGCCTAACAATTTGGGATTTACTGTAATACTTGGGCTTTATTGTTGAATCTGAGTTGATCGAGACCCTTAAAGAAATCTGTTCTCTAGACCAACATCATTGTCATCCCCTAAGAGATTTAGCAATTCTGAATCTCAGACCCTACTCCAGACATGCTGAATCAGAATTTGCATTTCATGTGCACATTAAAGGTGGAGAAGAACTGAGCAAGTCTATTCATTTCTCTCTTGGTACAGATGGGTAAACTGATACCCAGAGAAAGGAAGGAACCTGCTCAAGGCCACTAGGACCACTTTTTTACAGAGCCAGGATTAGAGCTTAGATCCTTTGTATTCTTCTTGTTTTGTTTCCAATTTTTTCTTTAAATAACGTTTGATCATTTTTAAATGAACTTGCCCTGGTAAATAAAAAATCTGAAGCAATGAAACTTTTCTTAATGATTCGTCACTGTTTGCCTGTGAAATATTTTTAAAGTTCTTTAATTCTGTGACTACCAGCAGCAGTATGTGGGTCAGTCTAGTGATTAAGAACCTGGGTTTTTTAGTCCTATGGACCTGGGTTCAACTCCGCATTGTGAAGGCTTGTGAGGAGCAGCACGTCCTGGGACAGCTATTATCCTTAATGCCACTCAGTTTTAGGGCTTTTTATTTTTCCTTCCAACCACTCAGCTTTGTTCTAGATGAATGAGGTCAGCAGACTAGGACCTGGGGTGTAGCCCCCTCATAATGTCTACTGTGGGAACCCCAGTAGAAATGAAACAAGAAGGAGCTGCATTGGATCTCAGTTCTATCTCAGTGGTGGTCAGACACCGAAAATCTGGATCTAAACCAGCAGATTCTTCACAAATACCATGCTTCCCAGTAGCCAATGTATTTTCTCTTCCATTTATCGAATTTGCCATGTTAACTGAGAAATGGAATTTCTGTTATATTAGATACTTGCTTGAAATGGAGAAATTAAGGCACAGAGAGATTAAGTAACTAACGCAAAACAATAAAGCTGTGAGTGTCAGAGCCAGGATTTTAATCCAGGCTTGACTACTCCAAAGCCTGTGGCCTTGGCATTGGTCCCCACCCCCTGCCTGTACTTGGCTCGTTGATCTGGAGACTCAAAATGCAGAAAGAGGAAAGTTAGGGCTAGTGAAACTGTATTGTGCAAAGTTGCATTAATTGCTCTTTGTTATTTCATTTTAGGCTCCACTTTGGAGTTGATGAGTTTCCTGAAAACTGTGATTTCATCCTCTCAGGCTCAAGGTTGGAGCTTTGTTTTTTAGCTGTTTGTGCCAGTATTTGGTCAAGCCCTAAAGCTGTCAGCTCCTTGACATACTGCTTGAATTACTAGTATCCATTCCTAAGGCATCCAAGTGCCAGGAACTCCATAGTTGTAATTAACTTATTTGAATATAATTCCCTAGTTACAATTCCCAGTGTTCTCCAAAGGAGCTATGAAATCACAATATGCAGCTTCTTGTAATAATGCAGATTACCAAAAAGAATCTACAATGGGCATCAAGAGAGTTGGTGCTGCCACAACTGTGGGACCTTGGACAAACTGCTTTCCCTCTCTGTGCCTCAATTTTCTGACATCCGCACCCCCGTCCCCAAATGCCCAACCCAGTGTGAGTTAAATGCTGCTCCTCTGGACTACAATTTACTCACAGGTTTCAAGTCACCATAGCATTTAGCACCCTGTGTTGGCAACGTTAATTTATTTTTCATTCTCTGCCGATCACCCTGTAGACTCCCTAAAGTCATGGACAATATCATGTAAATTTCTACATCCCTTGGGCCTAGCATGGTGCTCCACATGTAACTGGTACTAGATAATGAGCTGTAAGCTTCCTTATGCTTCTCTCAGTTTCAGATGGTATCTTACCTGAATAATACAGAAAGAGAACAACTGGATTTCTCAGTAGCAGAATTGAATTTGTTATGATTCATACTTCATAGGGGAAGCCATAAAATAAGTAGATACGCATCCATGCTAACAGGGGATCTTAGGTCTCTGGAAGATGGGAAGAGTTTGAGGTTTAGGAGAGGGCTGAAATCAATCTGATAAGATCAAAAGCACTGATTCCTCTTTCATCTTGTGATCGTAATTTCTCCCATTTCATATATTTTACTGCTAAAACAGGGGTGGCAGACAGGGAATAACATGATAATGCTTTCTGGAAGCATCTGGTGAAGTACATTGTTCATTTTTCTAGTGATTCCTGTGCTCTGCAGAATTTCAAGGGGCAGGGTCCGTTGCGCACATTATTAGGATTCAGCTTGACAACGCTGCACCTTGGAGCTAAACATGCTACATTTTACTTTTTATTCAGTCAATCACATAGACAGATTTAGAATGCTGCTGTTGTGTTCATCACTGTGCCGGGACACATGGAATCCAGACAGGAACAAGATAAGATTTGCACCTTTGATGGTGGGTTCACTGTCAGTGGGAGGTGCAGTGATTTTTGACATAGAAAAAGAAAAATTATAATACTAGCATAGTAACTGCTTATACTGGAATAAGCGCTAACTTTGGTGGGAGCAGAGAGGAAGTATTGACTAACCCTGCTTGTGTGGGTGGAGCTTCGAGGGAAAAGGAGAAAGGAGAAGGAGGAAGGAGAGGATCAAAAACACTAGATGAGAGAGAACAGTTGAGCAGTGTCCTTCATCTGTTTTGCAGATGAAGGAGAGGGATGGGTAGTCAGAGAATTTCTGGCAGAAGATGCCACCTGTACATAAAATGGTAAGAAGGCAGAGTGTATGCAGCTAAGTATGGCTAAAGAGACTGGGGCAGGCTGTGGAAGCAAAAGGAGACCAGCGAAGCAGTTTGCAGCCAAACCTGTAATGTGGAATAAAAGGAGAATGCAGAGGACAGAGAGGAAGGAGAAGTCGGGAAATAAGTCAGAAAGGCATGAGAGCCTGAACAAGATTGGTGGAAATGGTGGTAGAGAGCAAAGGAGAAAGAACGGTTTCTTTAAACCTAGAAATAATTGAGAACTTCTGAGATATCTGGGCGAGCTAGGGAGTCAATATAGTAAATAGCTTCATTTTCAACTATAAACTGATTAACACCAATTGTTTGCCAACTGCAAACTGGCCATCACGGAAGGGCATTACAGTGGGTAGTTTTCAAAGCTAGGAATAAAACAGCACATGGAGGATATCTATTTGCAATCTATTTTCAAAACAGTAAATATAGAACTCCTGACCCTATAATGCACAGTGATCTAACCCAGAGTTTTTGTCTTCCCATGATAGCAAAGCATCTTCCTAGAATAAATACCCAGGAAAATCCTGGATCTACTCTCTTGAAGTCAAGTGTATTGGTTTTCTATTGTTGTCTAAAAAATAACCATAACTTGGTGGCTTAAAAATACTTTTATTACCTTACAGTTTCCATAGACATCCTATAGACATAATTTAGCTAGATCTTGCGCTTCCGATTCTCATCAGTTTGCAATCCAGGTCCCAGCTCGAGCTGTGGGCTTATTACAGGCTCAACTGGGGAATGGTCCACCTACAAGCTCCCTCAGGTTATTTGCAAAAAATCATCTCCTTATTACTGTAGGACTAAGGTCCACATTTTCTTCCTAGCTGATGGCTAATGGGGGCTGGGGTGGGAGGCGGGGCACTACTCAGCTCCTAAAGGCCATCTACGGTTTTTTGCCCCGTGGCTCTCTCCATGATTCCTTTAATAACATGGCAGCTTGTCTTTTCAAGGCCAGCATTTGAGAGTTCCTCTTACCTTAGGGAGGGGCCCAGTCCTTTTTTAAGGACCTTTGTGTGATTAATCCAGGCACACACAGGATAATATCTTTTTTTTTATGAACTCAAAACCAACTGATAAGCAAAATAAGGCAGGCATAGAAAAACAAATACTTCATGTTCTTACTCATATGTGAGAGCTAGAAAAGTTGATCTCACGGAGGTTAAGAGTATAATGGTGGTTTCATCCATGTCCCTACAAAGGACATGAACTCATCTTTTTTTATGGCTGCATAGTATTCCATGGTGTATATGTGCCACATTTTCTTAATCCGGTCTATTGTTGTTGGACATTTAGGTTGGAAACCATCATTCTCAGCAAACTATCGCAAGGACAAAAAACCAAACACCGCATGTTCTCACTCATAGGTGGGAATTGAACAATGAGAACACATGGACACAGGAAGGGGAACATCACACACTGGGGACTGTTGTGGGGTGGGTGGAGGGGGAGGGATAGCATTAGGAGATATATCTAATGCTAAATGACGACTTAATGAGTTCAGCACGTGAACATGGCACATGTATATATATGTAACAAACCTGCACGTTGTGCACATGTACCCTAAAACTTAAAGTATAATAATAATAAAATTTAAAAAAAAAGAGTATAATGGTGGTTACTAGCTGCTGAGAAGTGTAGGAAGGTGAGGAGAATAAAGATAGATTGGTTAATGAGTACAAAAGTACAGTTAGATAGAAGGAATAAATTGTAATTCTCAGTAGCACAGCAGAGTGACTATAGTTATCAATAATTGATCACATATTTCAAAATAGCTAGAAGAGATTTGGTGTGTTCTCAACATACAAAAAAATAAATGTTTGAAATGTTTGAGGCGATGGATATCTCAATTACATTGATTTGATCATTACACATTGTATGCATGTATCAAAACATCACGTGCACCTCATAAATGTGTACAATTGTTACATATCAATAAGACTAATAAACTGTAAAAAAAACTGATTAAGGACCTTAATTGTATGTGCAAAATCCCTTCATGTTACCCCAGTCCATTTGCTAGAAACAAGTCACAGGTCCCACCCATATTTATGGGGTGTGATTATATGGGAATGAAGAGCAGGAGGGCTGCGTAGTTAGGGAGCACCTTAGAATCTGTCTCCCATACCAAATTCCACTCTTAGTCATATTTGATAAGTTTCAAAATAAAGACATCATAGATTTGAACAAGACTACGTATGAAAATAATAACTATATTTCGCTTCTGCACTCATTATCTTGTTGGATTTTATTCATACAAACCCTCAAATTCCGACTAGCTGACAAAATCTGTTCACTAGTTAAATGTAAGGTAAGAGTGGCCATTTGCGGTCATCAAAAGTTTTCTCCCTTAACCCAAGTCAGCATTCTAACACTCCTTCCACAAACTTCTGCACCACAGGGGCCCGCTGCTGCCAAAGCAGAATTCAGTTTCACTAAACTGAACAAATGTGAAAGTTTACCTAGGTATATCCCAAATTATGTCTTACTTAATCTCTCTCTCCAACAACAATTATAACAATAAAAGTATAAAGGAAGCAATGTCAATGGTTCAATAAATTGCAAATATCCTGAAGATTACAAGAGGAAAAAAAAGAGTTCTGGAGATTGCCATTTACATTCTAAGTTCTCTTTGAAGAGGCCAAACTTTCCTGGTGCTTCTGGAGAGAAATGAGCAAGAACAGCATTTTTCTGTTTGCATAGTCTTGATTGCTCAAGGGGCTATGGGAACAAAGAACCACCAGTAAGTGCTGACATTTTCTGAAAAATGCTTAGTAAGTTAAGACTACATATACACATGGAGATCAAAGACAGTGTCTTTAGCTGTTTAGACTTTCCAGAAATTGTTCCTCTTAAATTATTTATGCGAGCATAGAGTCAATAGGAAAATTCTCATATTCTGCACATTGGAGCAGTAGCCTCCAAAACAGTGATATAAATATAAAGATATTAAATAGAATAATTATGTTTTAAAGTGAAGAATCCTTATTCCAGTAAAAATATTAAACAGGTCAAAATCTTTTTGAGAGGCATACTTCTCCCTCAACAAGTATATATGCAGTTTCAGAATCACTTCAGTTCTGCTGCATGATAAAATTTCTTGTCAAGGTGCATACACTTAAGAAGAAGGTTGCCTCCCACCATGCCCTTGGTTCTACCTTCCCACTAACCAATGACAAGTCAAGAGAAGGGGCTTAAGACCCTCATTTAAGAATAGAAATAATATGCTGTGCCTAAGAGAGATTCTGGCACCTTAAATAAATATTCTTTCAGTGAGTGAATGAATGAATGAAGGGAGGGGGGTGCTCTGAAGTCCGACAAACTAAAATCCCAATCCAGTTCTGCTCCTCACATATTGTGTAACCTTAGCAAAATTTCTTAACCTTTGAATCTTTGTTGCTATATCGATAAATTGGAAATATCAATACCTCCCAACAAGACGCAGAATAGAGTAGCTGTGTGGACTATTGAAGCTGACCCCTGGAGTGTATTCCCAGTTTTCACACTTACTCACAGCTCCTCTTGTGTCTCTGGACTAACAATAGAATCTGTCTCATCATTATGGTGCAAAAATGACATGAGATACTACTTACAAAGGTTTTAGGGCAGGGCCTAGCAGTTACTGTTCAAAAAAATGTTGGTTGTTATTACTGTTATTATCATTCCTGGAATCTACTAATGACTATAAGTAAAATGACAGGCTATTTTTGTGGCTATTGGATAAATGATATTTATGTCCAGGCACCATTAACTATTTTCCTGTCTCTTCTTAGTGGCTGAAGATCTCACTCTTTCTCTTTCTCTTCTTCCTTCTCTTTCTCTTCAAATTTGAAGCAGCAAGTGGTCAAGAATTATATTAGACAAACAAAATTACTAATTTTCAATTTTTTTAAGCCATGGAACCCTTTCTTTCCTCAAAGGAAATTCTATTGCAAAGACCTATAAGATTAACACAAAAAAGTGGCTGATCTGTTTAAGGCTGGCTGGTAAGGCAGACCACTGGCCTTCTGTTTCTCTCTCTCTCTTTCTTTCTTTCTTTTCTTCTTCTTCTTCTTCTTCTTCTTCTTCTTCCTTCTTCTTCTTTTTCTTCTTCTTTCTTCCTCTTCTTTCTTCTTCTTCTTCTTCCCTCTTCTTCTTCTTCCTCCTCCTCCTCTTCTTCTTCTTTCTCTTTTTATCTTTCTGTCTCTTTCATAAACATACACACACACACGCACATGAATATTGGCCTTCTGAGGAAAGCTTTAGGGTTCTGAATAGTGTGGTTTGATAAACTATAAACAATTAGTTATTAAACCTAGTTATGAACAAAATTAAATACAGACGAATGGAACCTGGGGCTATCATAGACATTGTCATTTTGTAAGACTGGCTCCCCATAGTGATGCCTCCTGTGACAATATCCAAAGTAGGGGCTAATCTGCCAGAGCTCACCGTTTATTGCTGTAAAATGAAGGTGCGAAGAATGATGATGCTGCAAATTTCTGTAAATAATAATATTTTCTATTTTGATGTCATAGACCATGGTATCTTCCTCTCAACCCCAAAATTGCTGACATCTCTGCAGCAGGCATCATCATTTGGATAACCAACAGCATTTGTCACTGCTTTCCTTACTGGTAGAGTCCTGATTTTGTCCAAGTAGCCATTCCTCAACAATGTGATTCAGGAAAGAGAAGACTCTCCAGCTCCAGAGGAAAATCTGATGTGCCTAAATTAACAGCATGGTCCCTTATCTTTGCTAAGAATTGGATTCAAACTGAGGATATGAATCAATTCTGCCAATGAGGAGAGGTGCGCTGAGGAACTTCCTGGAAAGTTTCTTCTAATAAGAGAAATACTGAGAAAGAGACAGCTCCTCTTCCTCCACTGGACTCTGCCTGGATATGATGCCTATAGCAACATCTATCTTATATCTGTGAAGAGAGCTAATCTAAGGCAAATCCACCACACAGAAAATGGCAGAGTGAAAGTTGTAAAGAATCTGTGCTCTCAAAAACATGATTGAACTCTCAAATAAGCATGCAGCTTCCTTTCCTTGAGATGCCTTGTTGTGTGAGATAACCATTCTTCTTATTGTTTAAGCCAGTATTTCTCAAAGAATAAGTATCAGCATCACCCTGTTAGAAATACAAATTCTCAGGCTGCACTCGACAACCACTCTATACACTCTTGTGGATGGGGCCAGCACTCTGGGTTTTAACAAGTCCTGGAGAAATGCTGATGCATGCTCCAGTCTGAGAACCACTGGGAACCAAGCCATGTTGAGTTGTTTTTTTCTGTTATTTTTATAGCTAAGCATCTGAACTGATAATAAAATCTCTACAAAGTCTTCAAAATCTAAGATTATTCTTTTAGTTTTTATGCATTCATTCATAGTCACCTCTGTCACAAGCTCAGACCTGAGTTCATGGAGTTGGTCCAGAGACAGTCTGAGTGGCAGGCTGTGAATGCTGTCCTTAGACTCCTTGTCTTCCTTTTAGCACAGACTCAGGACCCTCAACCAAATTTGTGATATGTCTCATTTTCTATCCCTCCCACCTTTCCTCAGGTAGGTGTCTCACCCATGGGAATCCTCTCAGTCCCTCTTGTAAGTAAATTTCCAGAAATCCCATCAGGCCTCCTAAAATACTTTAACATGAAAGCCATTGCTGCATCCAACTTGTCTCTTAAGCCTCACAACAACTCCTTGAGACAGATATTGCCATATATTTTACATGAAGGAAAAACTTGAGGCTCTGGAAAGATAAGGAACTTTTCATGATCACCCAGTTAACAGGGTGTGGAGTCTGGGTTTGGGTTTGCATGTTCCTGATTCCAATGACTATTCTTTCACAGCAGCCACACCACAAATAGCAACGGCTATGTGAATTACATTTTGGCAAATTTTATCAGATAAATGTAGTCCTGTTCAAAATAACTCATAGGGTGCCAGGACCTGCCTGCAACACCGTTGCCTAAAATGTTATTCAGAAATGTCCCCAGTATAAATCCTACTTTTAGACAGAGATGCTGCTTAAGAGAAGCTCTTCCTCTTTTGAAGACATAGAACTAAAGGTGGTGGAAAAGATTGAGCAGGAGGCTAAGAACACAGACCACTTACTCACAGGTTCTGGTAAGTTAATTAAATACTTTACAGACCATGAACTTTATATAGATCTGAGGCCACAAAAAAGTATTATACACAATATGTATTCACTTAAACTATGATTGGGAACTACAGGAAGCATTAACTCCATGAATAATTTACCAATTATCTTGGGGAGAAATTCTAAATACAGTCCTATGCTGTTTTGAAAAAAAAAAAAAGAATAATTGAAATGCAGATGAAAGAAGATGTCCTCTGACAGCAGCTACCTTCTCTCTCTCTCTTTTCTTTCTCTCTCTCTGTCTTCTCTCTCCCTCCCTCCCTCCCTCCCTCTGTCTCTCCCTCTCTCTCCTTCCCTCTTTCCATGTCTTTTGGCAGCACTTTACATATAACAGAGAGGTAGGAACAGTGAAAATATTTGGAGACAGAAAACAGGTTGATTTTCCAGCCATGCCATTTGCTAGTCACTAGTAGGACTTCGTGCAACTCACTTAACCTCTCTGAGCTTCAGCTTCCTCATCTATAAAATGGGTATTTTAATCTGAATCCTTTCCTCATTTATCTTTTACTTGGTAGGGGGATTGAATACTAGATGAGAAAACACACGTACAAATATTTTATCTGTGGTAATATAGTGGGTTGGAATTAAATATTAATAATGAGAACAGTCTCCATATATTGAATATTTTCTCTGTGCCAGGTTCTGTGCTAAGGTTTTAAATGTAGCATTTCACTGGATTCTCACAACAATCCTATGACAACTATTCTATTAATTTCCCCATTTTACATGTGAAGATGCAGACTAAGATTAAACAGTAGCTTCCCCAAGTATAAATAAATAGCATGTGGCAGATCTGAGATTCATTCCTAAGACTGATTTCAAAAACAAATAGGTTAGTACTATTACTGTCCCCATTATACAGGCAAGGAAAACCAAAAGCTTCAGAAGATAATGTAACCTGCTCTAGTGGATAGCAAAGCTGGGAGTCTTAATATCAAGCTCTCAGTCACACACTGTTTCACTGCTTCCAAAAGATTTTTGTTAGAAGAATTAGCACAGCATGAGTTAAAGATAGGGCCAAAAAGTACCTTTGTGAATATCTGGGTTTCAAGTACTGACATCTAGCTGTTTCCTTGATCCTATTCTGACCAGCTTGTCAATGGTCTTAGCAAAACCTAGGAATTCTTTATATAGCAGGGTTTTATAGATGCTTTTCTTGGAGACAAAAAAAAAAAGTGTGGTAGCATTTATTTAAAATACAAAATGCAAATGGTTCAGGAAGCAGCAATCACTCTAGCTTTAGGAGTCATTGATCCAAACTTACTAGATAAAAGATGGGATTATTGAAATTTTTCACAGATTCAAATATTCCTTTTCATGTATGTAGATAAAATGTATCCCAGACTATGGATATTAGGAATAGCTTGTTTTCTTAAAAATGTGTAGTTTTAGTCCATTTGTGTTGTTATAAGCAAACACCTAAGGCTGGGTAATTTATAAAGAGGTTTATTTGGCTCACAGTTCTGCAGGCTGTACAAGAAACATAGTGCCAGCATCTGCTTCTAGTGAGAGTGTCAGGCAGCTTCCAATCATGGTGGAAGGCAAAGGGAGCAGAATGTGTGGACAACACATGGTGAGAGAGGAAGCAGGAGAGATATGGGGAGGCGCCAGGCTCTTTTTAACAACCAGCCAACCAGCTCTTACAGGAACTAATAAAGAGAGAACTCACTCACGACTCTTCCCCCACCAGAGCATTAATCTATTCATAAAGGATCCCATTAGAATCCTTGACTAATGACGCAAACACTTCCCATTACCCAAATACCTCCCATCAGGCCCCACCTCCAACACTGAGGATGAAATTTCAACATGAGATTTAGGGGGACAAACAGCCAAACTATAGCCTATGTCTTTTGTATTAAACAAACTAGCATTTGTTCCCATGCTGTACATTATTGCAAGCATTCCTGACACTGAGAAATATTCAGACATTAAATTAACATAAAACAATGTCTGTCAGTAGTAATTCATTGACTGGAGTGCAGAACTGGACAATCTCTCAACCTTTGGCTACATTCTTAAATACCATTGCCCTATGCATGAGACCACAGATAAAGCCATTTCTTCCAGCTCATCTGCCAAGCTCTGGCTCCTCAATAGTCATTGGTTACAAGTCTTTTCCAGTTATTATTTTGTCTTCCCTTTCACATGTTTTTCACTTCAGCCTCCTAGGCATGTCTCTTCTCTCTAACCAGTTGTAAGATTGCCCCCAAATGACCTGTCCAACAGCATGGTGCTACTCCCTGCTCTGGCTAATTCACACCTACATACTGCTGTGTAAATGGGAAAATGAAAATAAAAACCACTACATTAGATTATTGTTATACTGACTAGCTAGGTGTAAGTAGCTGAAGCTTGTTTATTTCTGGTCACCATGATCCTATAGCAAACAGATCAGTAGGGAGCATTGACACATTACAAGAATAGAGCAACAAACAGAGACCCAGATCCAAGAAGAAGTAGACAACCAGAGGGAATGAGGACAGAAACACCTGAAGAATAGAGAAAGTTAACAAATTGAAATGAAACATACGATGGTCAGCATTGGGGTTAGTTAAGATTAGTCTCACTTCCCAGAGTTAACTCTAAGGAATAAATAAAGATGCAAAAGTCCTGGCACATAGTATGTGCTCAAAAATTGGTTGTGCACATTTTTTTCTTTCCTTTCTGTAGGAGGCAGAATGAGGGCAAAACTGGAGAGAAAGATCAACTACAGGTGGATGAGGGCCAGAGGAAGCCAACCACTGGGCACACCTTTTCCGGGAAGTTACCCCATCTAGGCTTAGCTCTCTCCTCAACCCGACAAACCCAAAATCCTCCTGTTTCACATCTAGGCTTAACTCACTCCTCAACCCAACAAACCCAGTCCTCCTGTTTCACAGTAGGCCTCACAATAGCTTTTTAATCCAGCAACTAGGATTTCCAAATTCTAGCTTCTACTGTGCTTCAGGGTACTTGAAACAACTCTCTCTTAAGCATATAAAATATCACTACTGAAGAGTTTTTTTCTTTAGAAATGTGCTTAGTGAATATTTTAACTGTTTGACTCAAGAGAATACCTGCATTCATTCGCTTGCGATGGAGACCAGGAGTGAGGAAGAGTGGGAAGGAACAGACAGTAGAGAAGCTTAAAAAGAAACCTGGATTTGGCCGGGTGCGGTGGCTCACGCCTGTAATCCCAGCACTTTGGGAGGCCAAGGCAGGTGGATCACGAGGTCAGGAGTTCAAGACCAGCCTGACCAACATGGTGAAACCCCGTCTCTACCGAAAATACAAAAATTAGCTGGGCGTGGTGGTGGGCGCCTGTAATCCCAGCTACTCAGGAGGCTGAGGCAGGAGAATTGCTTGAACCTGGGAGGTGGAGGTTGCAGCAGTGAGCCAAGATCGCGCCACTGCACTCCAGCCTGGACGACAGAGCGAGACTCCGTCTCAAAAAAAAAAAAAAAAAAGAAAAAGAAAAAGGAAAAAAAAAAAAGAAACCTGGATTTGAGCATTCATTTGGCTCCAGGAAATCACCACAACAAATCAAATCAAATGTAAAAACAAAAATTGAAGATATTTGGAAGGGTCTTTGCACTTGCAGGAGAATGGAGGACACTTGGACTCCTTCAAAACGTATCTTTCAAGTTTCTAGATACTTTCATGTAATAGACGGGTGATATGTAATCCTTGACAATAACTGTCTCATTTCATCTAAATTAGATGCTTCAGATACTTAAAATGTAATCAACTTTGGGCTGGATCATGTTTTTTTCTATGGCTCAAAATCATGCAAAATATATTTATGGTGTATTTCTGCCCCAGCAAACCTGACAAAAAGAGGTGCTTATTTATGATATCCTACTCCTGAATCTGACAACTGTGTATTGTATAAAGAGAAGTCTCAAGAGGCAAACTCATAATTCAGAAGAGAGATGAGTCATCCAACATATTTAAAAGAGAATTTGAATTAGACTAGGCCACCCATTAATGTGGTTAGGAATAGTGACTGGACATGAATCAATTTACAAATAAAACTTTCTTTTCTCTTTGCTATTTATTCAAATCAAGACACAAGGAATATGGGTACCTCTATATGCCTATGAGGTCATATTATAGTCACTGTATTTGTCTGGGGACATCATTTCTCTTTTGTCATTAATGAAATTAAGAAATAGCTAATGGCTTCATGATAAATCATTTAGTCAGGATATAGTTCCAAGAACTTACTTTTTAATCACAATATTAATGGTGCCTTTAATTTATGTGCCTGCTTAAAATGAACAATGCTAGTGAGGCAGCTCTAGAAACAGTTAAGTTAATCCTGTCAAAATGAATAGAAGTGACAGATTCTTATTAGCTCATCATGCCTGCTGGAATCCAGGATTCTGTACCCTTGTTTTTATTTCCTTATTCTTCTAAAAGATTATCTATTGAAAAGTAGCCAGTTACCTCAATTGTTGCTGACTCCAAGTAAAGTTAGCAAGAATAAGAGATCTAAAATATCAGTTGAACTTGGGGGTCAGGACTTGCTGCTCTCCTGTTTTTGCCAGTACTATAGTCTACTAGAGGTAAAAAGCAACCTGGCTCTTTAGGAAGAAAGACTGTCACAATTAATCCAAGGGCAGTTTATTAAGGATGAAGCTACAGAGATTTTGAACTGAAGCCTTTTAAGGCCACCCAAATCCAGTGAAAATGTGGCACCGTTTAAGATGAGCAGTGTCTTTCTGTAAACAGTACAGCATTTATAGTTCTTTTATTCATCTAAGTGCTTTTAGTGGAAGTGTTTCTTGGCAAAAAATCCATTCCATCCCCTTTATTAAGCACTTACCATCTGTCAGGAACTAAACTAACAGCTTTGATTATACAGTAGTTCTGATATATTTCAAGACCCCCAGTGGATACCTGAAATGGCAGATAGTACTGAAACCTGTATATACAATGGTTTTTTTTGTTCTTTCTATCCATACATACCTATGGGAAAGTTTAATTTACAAATTAGGTACAGTAAGAGAATAGCCACAATAGGCCAGGTGCAGTGGCTCATGTCTGTAATCCCAGCACTTTGGGACGCCGAGGTGGGTGGATCACCTGAGGTCAGGAGTTCGAGACCAGCCTGGCCAACACAGTGAAACTCCATCTCTACTAAAACTACAAAAATTAACTGGATGTGGTGGCACACACCTGTAGTCCCAGCAACTTGGGAGGCTGAGGCAGGAGAATCACGTGAACCAGGGAGGTGGAGGTTGCAATGAGCTGAGATCACACCACTGCACTCCAGCCTGGGTGACAAAGAGACTCAGTCTCAAAAAAAAAAAAAAAAAAAAAGGAAAGAATAGCCACAATAATTAATAAAACAGAACAACAATAACAATATATTATAATACCAATTATCATACTCCATGCTCTAACTTTTGCAGTTTGAGATGTGTCAGCCAAACCAGCACAAATTACTTTTTCCTTCTTCACAATGTCATGGACAGAAGATTCATTCTTACCATAGGTCTTAGCAACCTCAGCATACAATTTTGTTTCCTTACTAAGTTGAGAAATGTCACCTTTTCAATTAAAAGAAGCACTTGACAGACGCTCTGTGGCATATTCGAATTGCCAGCATCATTCCTCTTGTGCTTTGAGGCCATTATTAAGTGAAATAAGGGTGACTTGAACACAAGCTCTGTGATACTACAGCAGTGGATCTCATTGCTGACATGACTACTAAGTGACTAATGAGTGAGAAGTGTCTTCAGCGCAGATATACTGGACTCAGATAGAATTCATGTCCAGGTTGAGATGGAGTGGGATGGCATGAGATTTCATCGCACAACTCAAAACAGCAGGCAATGTAAAACTCATTCATTGTTTGTTCCTGGAATTTTCTACTTAATATTCTCATACCTTGGTTTGACAACAGGATAACTCAAACCATGGAAAGTGAAGACATGGATAAGGCGGGACTATTGCATTACCTCATGTAACTTTAAAAACAATCCTTTTTGGAGGTGTGGCCATGCCTGCTTGCTGCCTGTCAAATGTTCATTCTTATTTTTTGCTTCTTAAAGAGAAGCAATACCTTTATTTGAGGTTGCAATGTGAACAACTAAACATTCTTTAGCCTCCCATGCAGCAACATGGTTGATGCTAAGTTCTGATCAATTAGACATAACTGAAAGTATTATCATTATGTCAGACCTCAAGACAGACTTATTAAAGAAGACTGTCTCAAAACAGAGATGAGCCCTTTTTGCCTTCCTACCATTTTTTCTCCATGCTGCGTGGAATGTAGTCCAAGTGTCTGGAACCTCAGCAAATTTCTTGGACCATAAGGTGACATGAAGATGGAAGCCCAAGTGCTAATGTGGTGGAGAATAAAGACAGAAGGGGACAGAGTCCCTGGTAATCTTATTTTATTTATCTTTTTCTTTCCAGATGGAGTCTCGCTCTGTTGCCCAGGCTGGAGTGCAGTGGCGCAATCTCAGCTCGCTGCAAACTCTGCCTCCTAGGTTCAAATGATTCTCCTGTCTCAGCCTCCCGAGTAGCTGGGATTACAGGCACGTGCCACCATACCTGGCTAATTTTTGTATTTTTACTAAAGACAGGGTTTCACCATATTGGTCAGGATGGTCTCGAACTCCTGACCTCAGGTGATCCACCTGCCTCGGACTCCCAGAGTGGTGGGATTACAGGCGTGAGACACCACGCCCGGCCCAGAGTCCCTATTAATCTTAAAAATGCCACGCTATTCCTGGAATTCCTGCCTCTAGACTTCTTTCACATGAGAGATAAACTTCTTTTTTAATACCACCATTATTTTTTATTTTCTGTTTTGTGAAGCCAAACATAATTAATCCTAACTAATGTAGGAGGACACTATTATCACCTTATTTTATAGGTGGGAAAATTGAAGTAGACAGAGGGTCAATAACTCATCCAAGGTCCTAGAGCTCCTAATTGGTGAAGCATGGCTTTTAACCCAAGTACACATACTTACTCTCTCTCTCTCTCAATCTCTCTCTCTCTCCCTCCCTCTCACACACATATACATCCCAACTACTGCTTCAAGTGAATATTAACTACATATACATTTGGTACCTTTTTGTTTATATACCATAATCTGCAAAAGAAATCACATAATTAACATTTATGGAACACCTAATATGTTCAGGAATATTATTAAACACTTTTCATGCATTAATTTGTTTAATCCTCACAGCAACTACAAGAAAATAACTACGTTATTATTATTTCCATTTTAGAGATGAGGAAAATCGGAAGAATCAGAAATGTCAAGTAGCTTTCCCAAGGTTCCACAGCTAGGAAATAGCAGAGCCAGAACTCAAAGTCAGGTCTGTCCAATATACCATACCCTCATAGAAACCATATTGTTAAATGTGTCTGCCTACTACCCACATAAGAGTAGGGAATATCCATCTTTCATGGTTTTGGTGTCTGGTAGCAAAGAGAAGTTGGCAGCCTCAACAATGAAGAAAATGCATACAGGTGTTCCAATCCCTAACAGAAAAGCCGATTCAGATGATGTTATCTTTCTATTTATAACTTACCAATGGCTTTTCATTGACTTCAGAATAAAAGCCAGACTCCTCACCAGAGACTACAAAGTCCCGCATCACCTGGTGCTATACTACCTCTTGCTTAATGTGCCACAGCCCCATTGTCTTGGTATTTCTCAAACTACTTAAGCACATTCTGGTCCTAAGGACTTGAAGTTTCTATTTCCCATGCCTGTAGTTTTCTTTCCCCATTATTTTCACATGGCTTTTTCCCTTTTCACCATTTAGGTTTCTGCTAAATGATACTTCTGCTAAATGATACTATTTTCACATAATTTAAAGTATCTGAGTAAGTATCTCAGGTACTTTCTGAGAGAAATTTCCCTAAAAATCTAAAGTAGCTACTGTCAATGCCATCATTCATTTTATTATCTGATACTATCTAGTTTATTCATTAACTTGCATATTGTTTATCTCAATTCACTGAAATATAAGCTCCACCAAGCTTATTTACTAGAATGGCTGATTCTTTTCTACCTAGTCTTTTATGTAACAATAATTAACTCAGCAAACCTTTACTTAATGTCTCTTTTGTACTGGATCACCTGATTCTCTTGCGTTTTATGGCTGTTTCACTTGGGAGACTAAGGAAATACCAGTTTATAGATACCCTTTTAGAAGCAGAAATCTCAGTTCTGTTCTCTGATGACAATATTGCAGGTATAACCACTAAGTTTCTGTTCAAGGATTTCTTTTAGTAGAATTGTTCTACACAAATAAAGGCAACACTCCAGATACTCCAAGGTTTGAAGCTCTGCTCCTTCCTTATTGTCCTACTCATTTTCTCATGATTAAAAGCACACATTTGTGAGACAACTGACAAAGAAGGAGGGAGGATGGGGGATCTGTGGTCAGGAATTAGTATAAATATAAAGTAAGCAAGGAGTAAATTCGCGATCTCAGTCTCTAGAGTGTAACCAAATGAGTTACGTGGCATTTGTGGTTTCAAAGAATATGCTCTTAAGAAATATGTTTCCATTTAAAATAAAGCTATTATTTCGTATACTACAAGTATAGCTCTTGAGTTATATGTCCTGATAATCATGGCTTTTATATACAAACTGCTGAAAAAAATTGTACTCATCGCTATTGTTCTTACATGCTGTCATCTGCAAAAATAGGATGTAGCTTTGAGGGAACAAATGATGAGACCTTTTCACTCCAGTTACTAGCTTATATACTTTTTATTGTGTGACGATTGTTTATTCATATATGGTTATAAGGAAGATACAGAGAGAGTCTGGGTGCGGTGGCTCAGGCCTGTAATCCCAGAACTTTGGGAGGCCAAGGTGGGCGGAATACTTGAGGTCAGGAGTTCAAGACCAGCCTGGCTAACATGGTGAAACCCCGTCTCTACTAAAAATACAAAAAATTAGCCAGGCATAGTGGCACGCACCTGTAATCCCAGCTAGATGGGAGGCTGAGGCAGGAGAATCACTTGAACCCAGGAGGTGGAGTTTGCAGTGAGCCAAGATCACGCCACTGCATTGAAGCCTGGGCAACAGAGCGAGATTCCATCTCAAAAAAAAAAAATAGAGAATACAGAGAGGCATTGTGCACACTTTACGCAGGTTCTTCCAATTGTAACATCGTCTGGTAACTGTAACAATAATATTTTTTCACTATCCAATCAGGGATTGATTTAATAATCAGGCTGATAATTTTTTATTCCAGTGTTTTGGAATTCAAGTGCCTTCCACATAGATTGAGAAGGAAGAGCTTTACTTGTAAGATGAGCATTGTCTCAGCTCATGATGCCAATGTTTTTAAATTTCTTACTAACATAGTCTACACTGGAGATGTGAGGCTAAAAGCAAGCGTGTTTGCAGTGAATAAAACACTAGCTCTTCTATCAGAACACCACCCTGGGGCCAGGACTTATTAATATTCTCTGCACAAGAGAAAATATTGTGCAATTATAATTTCATAAGTTGGTCTGATCATAATTTTAATCGAAAATAACTTCCCTAAATGTAATACACACACACAGACACACACACACATGCACACTTCAACCAAGCATAATCACAGGGCAAAAGCTTTTTTGGACATATTTTGTTGACTGAGCTCCATAAGCACAGGAACTGTGTCTGTCACAGTCACTGCTATAGCCCCAGCTTATTGCCCATGTCATAGTATGTGATCATTACATAAATGTTGAAGGACCTTTTGAATGAGTAAATACCACATAAGTAAGTCACGATGTGAACTATATTGAGGCTGATAATCACTAGAGAGGACATAATAAGGCTTCTTTTCCATACTTAATTGCAATAGTTTTCTTAAAAATACTTAGCACAAATTTCTGTATTATAGTAAAGACACTTAGGTAATCTGCCTTAATGTAATTTAGAATATCATGGTTAAATGACAGGAAATTCTACTAATCAGCCTACCCTAGATCTTTATAACAATTTGAAAGAATCACAATTTACCCTTGACTCGGTCCATCAAGTGGGAAAATGTTGATATATCAACTTAGGTACACATGAATATTATTTTCAGAAGGCCTGAAACTGGAAACATAATGGATGGGCTACTGTGTATATACAAATCAAATATGGATAAGCATAAATACATGCTCACAAGATAGAATTTGAAGTATCAGTTTCAGAAAATGTGTCTCTTTGCCATTGGCTGGGTCAAGGCAGAATTGTGATTTCTAAACTCATTCCTCAATTGCTTGAGGACTACGAATCATTTATATTTCCTGGAAACACACACACTTCTGGCAGCAGTTAAACCTATTTGCCACCTGATGTGGCCATATTCATTGTACAGGAAGAATTCCTTTGCCTTGCGCATTGATAGGTCTCAAAATTTTCCCAACTAATAAAAGCCGATCATATTTCCCAACTAATAAAGATCTCAAAATTTTCCCAACTAATAAAAGCCGCTCATATTTCCCAACTAATAAAAGCCTATCTTGAACACTGTTAAAATCTCAGTTGCCAATTCAGCCTCGCCAGCTGGCAAAACAAACATTCACAGAGACTCCAGACCTTGGCCTGCCTCAAAAATGGACTTTGTATTCTCTTGTGGGAATAGCCCAAGGCTTTAAAGCATCAGAAGAACTACTGATAAGTTCAACTTGAGAGTGTTGAGAATAGAAAAAAAAAAAAAATAGCATAGCTATGTTGTTGCTGATGACTTTTTTCTTTTACATAGGTTTCATTGTACACAGAATATATAGCTTCAGTGATGATTCATTGGAATCTGTGCTATTTTTTAAAGTCTTTAAGTAATTTTGCTATTAAGTAATTTTACCAATATTAACTTTGAACGCATATTCTCATATCCATCCTATAGGTAATAAAAAGCACGTCATGTTCTGAATGTTATTTTAGAAAAGTCACAGTACTCGTCTTGAAATGATGATGGCAATTTAGCCAAACACTTCACTGAGAAGAAATTAGGTGAATTAGTTGTTTGAGTTTAATCATTATCATTATTTTAACTTCCTATTTTTCAAGCATCTCTGGAGTGCTTTATACTAAAGGTAACCATAAAATTTATCTTTTTCCTTGTGAAAGGAGGTGATATTAGTAAGTATACCAGGATGACAGGCATATAGCAGGACTATCACAGGCAAATCAGGACATATGGTCCCCCTATTTATAGTTTTCAAAGCACTTTAACTCACAGACTGTCCTAGGTCAGGTTCTCTCAGAAGCTGACTCTGAGTCAAGGATTTGAATACATGTGATGTATTAAAGAAGGGCTCCCAGGAGAAAAGAGTAAGGTAGAGAAGGAAGCAGGACAGGAAAGGAAAAGAAGCACCACAAGGGTGCAATTTCAGGTGAAGTCTCAGCCTCAGCCTGCTCCCAAGGGAAACACTAGACAATAAATTACATTGGAGTTTATTCCACCTCTGGCAAAGAAGCTGGGCTTTTGTCCTCAGGCATCAATCAGTCCTTGCCTTCAGGCTGCCCCCAGCAGAGGAGATAAAACTCCCAGGCACCTCTAGTTCTTCAAACTGGCATGTCAGTTTCACAGCCCAAGGGCAATCTTCGGAATGTTCCAAAGCACCAGAAACTTGGAGGTAGGCCAGGTACTATCAGTGCCGACTGTATCTTCATCGATTTACCTCATCTTCCCAATAACTCTGCAGGGGTACAATTTTTAAATCTCCATTTTTAAACGTGTGGGAACTACTGTGAGTCTATTCAAAGAGGCTTGTCCAGGATCTCATAGCATATCATCAGCAGATCTGGGATTTAAACCCAGGTCATGGATTCAAGGTAGACAGAGCATCTGTTCTGCAATACCTACTAGGAAGTTGCAAATAAATAATTCTAGAACATGTGTAGTCCTCCATAAAAAACATTATTAAAGAGGTAAAAGTTAATGAAAGTTTGGGTATCTAGGCTTCCTATATTTAGCTGTTTCGTTTTATAGGCACATGTTCTGGTTAAAAACATGAGCTTGGGAGAAAATATTTTTCTTCATATTAATAATAAATGAAGAAATATACTGCATTAGTCAGGGTTCTCCAGAGAAACAGAACTAACAGGAGAAAAGAAAATATATAGATAGATATAGATACATAGATATATAGTTATGGATAGAGAGAGATTGATGATAAGGAATTGGCTCACATGATTACTGATGCTGACATTTCCCAAGGTCTGCAGAGTGAGTTGGCAAGCTGAAGACCCAGGACTTCCAATGGTGTATTTCTAGTCTGAGTCCAAAGGAGAGCTGATGGTGTAAGTTCTAGTCTGAAGGCTCACAGGCTTGAAATCCTGGAAGAGCCAAGTGTTTCAATTCTAGTCCAAAGGCAGGGAAAAAAAAAATCCGATTTCCCAGTTCAAAGGCCATCAGGCAGAAAGAATTCTCTTTTACTTGGTGGAAAGTCAGTCTTCTTCTTCCTTTCAGGCCACAGACACTAAGGAGGGACAGAGACACTACTATTTTATTCAGTCTACAGATTTGTATGTTAATTGCATCCAAAACCAACCTCACAGAAAACACCCAGAATAATGTTTGACCAAATATCTGGATATCCTGTGGCCCAGTCCAGTTGATACATAAAATTAACCATAACAGTTAGTATTGCCCCAGTGCCTTCTGCATGACTATAAAGAAAAACATCATTAAATTTTTAAGATTGAGTTCCAATCTAACATTTAAACATATTTTATTCAGCTTCCTAAATGTAAACACACACACACACATTTTCTCTTCTTATGATCTGCTAGAATTAGAGACAATTTTGACATAATTTAAAGAAAATTACACATGCTTTCTCAGAATCTATTCTATTGGGATTTTTTTCAGTTAATGTACTGAAAACTTTTTACGTGTAAAAAATTGCCTTATCAATAAATGGATTAGATTTGGACACAATCAATTTCTCTAAGAGAAGAAGCATAGAAAATTTGCCACAAATCATTGCTTTAGGGTAATCGTATTTCGGGCAGAAAATTTCTTTTAAACTTGTATCTATTTAAAGGAATAAGACTATTTCTACAATGTGAAACCACAATTGAGTATATTGGGGGAAAGTCAAAATGTTCTTTCAGACTGGACTGACTACTTCAATCAAATTACAAAGTCACAAAATTAATAAGTCACATAGTTATCAGTCAAACCTAGCTCTTAGCCTCTGAGCTCTACTGCCTCCTTAAAACAGAATGTTTTGTTTGCCATGTGCATTCTTTTCAAATGTTTTGTTTATATTAAGCATTTTCTTACTTTAAAAGTATCTCTTCTCTCCTCCTCTTGCAATTAAAATCTTACTAATCTTTGGAAACTCAACACAAAACTAGATCCACAAAGAAAGTTTCCCTAATGCCCCAATTTGAATGCTTCTTTACGCATTTGCCCTTTTTAACACCATCCTTCATGGACCTCTATCAGAGATCTTATTTGATTTCATATCAGTCTCCCTTGCTGGATCATGAGACCCCTATGGGCTCAAAGCATCTACCAGAGTCCAGTATGTAGGTGCTCAATAACTATTGAGTGATTGCTTCTCATCCAAATTTACTTAGGTGGCAGAGAAATAACAACAAGCTACTCAATGCAATAGAAACACTAGATGGGAATAAAAGATCTGGGCTTGTATCCCACTCCAACTACTTCCTACCTATGAGCTTGGAACCATGAAGACCACACTTAATTTATTTGAGTTAAATTTCAAATAAAAGGATTATATAGAGTCATGTCTCCATTCCCTTCTTGTTCCAAATATGTGACATAGTACTTTTCTTCTCTTCCTTTCTTTCTTCCTTCTTTTCTTCCTCCCTTTGTTTCTCTAAGCACTTTGAAGACTTACTATGTGCCAGGCACTCAGGACACAGTTCTACTGTGACCTCAGCCTTTCAATAGGAATATATTCATTTTTGGACTCTCTACTATATTAAGATGTATTATTCCTTAAATCCTTGGGGTGGAATGATGCAGGAAGGAGTCAGATTTTTTTTTTTTTTTTTTAGTTTTTAATGAACAAAGACTACAGCAATGAGCTCTCCTAGGATCTGTAAAGTGTTTCAGGAAATCAGCCATCATATACATATTTTTTCTCATAGTACAGCAATAAATGTCTAGATAGAGCAAAGGAAAAAAAATTCTGGAAAAAAAATGCAATTATTCAATCACTTCATTGTTGCCTTAACATACGTCCTTGAGACATCCAGATACATTGACAAATTCGTCTCTACTGTATTTCCAAAAGTTTTTGTACTGAATAGGTTCTACCTTCATCTTCAATTTACTTAAGCTCTATACCAAGAGCCATTAGGAAACAGCTTCAGTAAAAATCTGCCACAATTAAGGTCATGTTGCTACTAAAATGAATCTGATTTGAAGCCAAAATAGTTTTTAACTATTAAATTTGCAATTATTCTAAAGAACAAAAATACCCAGTTTGGCGAGGCATGGCAAAACTAGCACTCATATGTACTGATAATGGCACTATAAATTGGCATTACCTTTCTGGAGGTCAATTTGGACACATATAGTAAATCTTTTACAATCTCCAAATTATTTTACTCCATAATTTTATCTCTGAGAATTTATCTTAAGAAAATCATCATTAATTTCTGCAAATATTACATATTAATAAGTGCCATCAGAGCATTGCTTATACTAGTAAAATAGTAAAAACAATTAAAATATCATATAATAGGAAATTGTAAATACAGGGTATTATACATACAATAGTATTCTATGTACCTGTATTATTGAGAATAGGGCATGCTGCCATAACAAATTAACCTAGAAATCCCAGTGGCTTATGAAAACAAAGATGTGATTTCTCACTTGTGCTCCCTGTCCAACAGGGAGTGGCAGAAGTCATAGCTCCACATGGCCATTCAGAGACAGAAGCTGATGGAAAATCCATCATAGAATGTCCCTAGTCACTTAGCAGGAAAAGAAATAAATTGGTGGGGATACATGCTAGCTTTGGCCCAGAAATGACTTTTGTCCTTTCTGCCTATGCCCATTGGCAAGAATTAATCATGGAGCTCTATCTAGCTGCAAAGGAGATGAGAAATGCAGAGGGCAAAATGGAATGCTTGATAAGCACCAATATCTTTATCATAGCAGTTAGAAAAAACAATTTGTAGAGTTATAACAGAATTAATTACTCATGTAAGTAAAAAAGCAAGCGGAAATATTCTGTGTGGAATATAATTTCAGATTTGTAAAAAAAAATCATATTCCTATTTGATGCATTAAAAAATGTTCTTCAATTAAATGGCTAACCTTTATAATAAAATTATTTTCAAATAATTATAATTGGTTTTGGATATTCAGTTCAAACTTTTTCTGTGTATTGGTATGTGCCTTATGTCAGACACTGTGCTAGGCACGGAGGATACAGAGATGGACAACATAGTCCTTAGCTTCAAGAAGTTCACAGTCAAGTGAGGGAGAAAAATACATAAAGTCAATTTCAAGACTGCATGTGCACTGTGATGTGATAGTACAGGTGCATACAAAGTACTACAAGAGAGCAAAGGTCACAGGAAAGCAAAAAGAAGGAGGGATAGAGAATGCTAACAACTTGTTCTGAGCTTTAAATTCGTACAAGAACTTGCAATGTAAAAGAACCCAAAAGTTCTCATCTCTGGTTTGGAAACCCTACTTTCCCCTGCCTTATTGCCTTACCTCCAGGCTGGGAAGATATTGGAAGCTCCATCCCCATAAGGAACTGGGGACTAGAGAAGTTCTGTGCCCTAACTCCAGGATCCAAGATACCAAGGTTAGAGGTGTAAGTACCCATGTCCTTACTTTTATGTGGTCTTTATCATATATAGCCCACATTACATGCCTAGTTTCTAATAATATATACTTTCTCACTGGAAAAGTTTTGAGCCATAGCAAACAAAAATTGGACTCTTAGAAGGCCTATGTCCTCTTCCCTTGGTCCTCAGGCAACAAATCACTGACTTGATTGCTGCCCCACAACTTCCCTACCCTTTTTCTGTCAGGTTAACCATGACGCTGTAACTCACTTGAATGCAAGTATCTTTGCCCAAGTGCCTGCTACTTCGTTGCCTCCATTAGAATGTATATACCTCGGATATCAATATTAGCTCCACCTGAACACAAATTCACTGCATCTTTTTAGGAAACTGTGACTTGGACCATTGGTTGCCTTTAAGGGTGATGGGTAGATAATGGCTATTTCTTTGGAGGATCCCATAATGTGAAGTTCCAAAGCCGTTCTGATTATAACATTGTTCTCAATTGTCCCTTACTAGACCATAGGGATGACTTCTGACCAGTGCCCTCTTAATATTTATCATCTTTACCAAGCATATTTACAGCCATTTCAGTGTGATGGCTTATTAAACTGGCACCATAATGGTTTTTGAACACAGATTGTGTTAATACAAAATGTGAAATTGTTTGCATCTATAATATGTAACTATCTTTAGATTGCTCCTTTAAAAAAAAATTGGGGGCTTAGCACAGTGAGGGATTTCTGCATAACTCCTTACTGTTTCTCATGGTTAATGATGTAAACTAACAATGTCCCAGCATGCCATTGATTATTTCAAGATAGATAGCATAACTGGAAAAATGTAGCTAACTTAAAAAGAACACATATAAAAATATTCCTGGTAGCTTTTGTGAAAAACAACAGAAAGGAATGCAGATAGATTAACAGGAATTGATTACACACATCTCTCTCATATTTATACAGTACATATACTAAGAGAAAATAACTCCACTGCCTCAACCATCAAATTCAGAGGTTAGTATCTCAAAAATATTTACTGCAAAATATTTACTGCATAATAATCAGAGCTTGAGCACATTGTAGATGGTAGTGCAATAAAGATTTCAAGACCAAAACCACATGCAAAACCGTGTGTGTGTGTGTGTGTGTGTGTGTGTGTGTGTGTGCTCACCCACATATGTGCAGAACGACAATCTAATAGACTAACAGTAATAAACACTCATGGGCAATAATTTTATACAATAACACAGAACATTGGGTTTCAATTTTTAAATGACAATTTGCTTATGGAATTTGTATGGATTAAAAGCATGTTTTATGCAGTTCAAATATAAATGTAAAGAAAGGCATTTATTTTAGTCTCAGGAATACGCTATATGTTATTTTTTAAATATTTCTTTTAATACCACTGAATTATACTCCAGAGCAGAGGTCTGCAAACCACAGTCTACAAGCCAAAACCAGCCCACTACCTGCTTTTGCCAATTAAGTTTTAGTGGAACACAGCCATGTTCATTTGTTTATGTATTGTCTATGATTTTTTCTCCATGTTGCAGTGGCAGGGTGGGTACTCGTAGCAGAGTCCGTGTGGCCGCAAAGCCTAAAATATTTACTATTTGGCCTTTTACATAAAAAGTTTGCTGGTTTGTTCCCACTCCAGAGTGAGGTATCCAACACAGTTCCCGCTAGCCACATGCAGCTATTTAAATTTAAATTAAGTAAAATTGAATTGAATTTAAAATTCAGTTCCTTAGTCACACTAGCCACATATCAAGTGCTCCATAGGCACATGTGGCTAGTGGCTACGATATTGGACGGAGCAGATTATAGAGCGCTTCCTTCGTTGCAGGACGTTCAATTGAATAGCAAGAGAGCTTTGCTACACGAAGTGTGGTCCATGTACAGCGGCACTGCCATTACTGGGAAGCTTGTTGGAAATGTGGAATGTCAGGTTCCCTCTAAATCAGAATCTACAGTTTAACAAGATCCCCAGGTGATTCCTATGCACATTATGTTTGAAAAAGTAGATCCAGGGGGATGAGGAATAAAGTAAATAGATGATGAACAGATGATTCAGGATCGAGAGGAAAGTGCCATCACCTAGGGGAAATAAAAAACAGAAAAGTTTCCTACAACAGAGACTCCATCAGCTGACAAACAAAATCTTTCCCTGAGCACCTCTTGGTAAAGTCCTCTAAATTTTGTGTGTTTTTTGCTGTGATTATAATTATCATTATAATTAAGGCTCCTGGGATGTTATAACCTGAGGACAGCTACAAAAAATTAAAGCCTGGGTAGCTGTGAGCCTTAGGAAGAGATGCCAGTCTAGGTTTTACTGTGCTGATGAACTGTCTGGTATGTCTGTGGGCTGAAGGCAGACTGGGGAGCTTTTTCTTGGTGGCGGAATGGCTTCAACCTCAGGATCAAATTCCCTTCTTTTCCTCCAACTCCACGTAGATCAATCCAGTGTGTGCACGAAACTAACAGAAATCTTCCCTGGTTTTGAGGGGGGAGTGTTTGTGTTTTTGTTGTTATTTTACTCTGGGTTCAAAACATGGGAAGACTAAAGAGGCAATGAGAGAAGTCGTCATATAATCCTACTCTGAAAAGGGAGCTTGCCCTGGCTTCCTCGTTCCAGAGGCTAAGACTAATGCATAATAGTTTGGAAAAAGCAGATGCTGGTCTACTCTAAAGAAGGCCTGCCTGCCACAGCTGAAGGCCAGGGGAACTGTCAACCCTGCGAGTGTGCCAGTGGAGGCACACTTGGAGCAGTTATTTTTCAACCAAGTGGACAAACCAGAATCATTTGTGATAGGAGAAAGGGTGGATAAAGGGGCGGATTTGTAGTCTGAGAAAGAAAATTATAAAGTGTGTTTCATTTAAGTATTTAGAAATTTCAAATCACAATCAAGGATAGTGTAAGATTTTATGTTTACTAAAATGTGGTATGAATTAAAATAACGTTGAAAGTCTCTTTTAGGCAGAGGTGGAAATGGCTTCACAGGGTTGTGAGCTTGGTGGATTTGCTCTGCTCTAAGGTTTAACGCTTGGCGTTGAAAACTCTAAAACCTGAATGAGTCACATATAAAGGGCAGAGGTGAATCTACTCATTGCTCAAAAGTGCACTCATGTTAATCAAGCTCACAAGAATAATGTATAAATGCTAATTTATAATTGCACAATGAAAACTATGTAACAGGAATCAATAATTGGCACAACTAGTTCATTTCCTTTCTATAAGTATTTTATATGGTAATTCAAAGTAGAATGTGTGGCTGGGCCCGGTGGCTCAAGCCTGTAATCCCAGCACTTTGGGAGGCCGAGGTGGGCCGATCACTTGAGGTCAGGAGTTCCAGACCAGCCTGGCCAATATGGTGAAACCCCATCTCTACTAAACACACAAAAATTAGCCAGGCGTGGTGGCGCGTGCCTGTAGTCCCAGCTACTCGGGAGGCTGAGGTGGGAGGATCCCTTGTACCTGGGAAGCGGAGGTTGCAGTGAGCCAAGATCATGCCACTGCACGCCAGCCTGGGTGACAGAGCAAGACTCCACCTCAAAATATAAATAAATAAACAAATAAAACAATAGAATGTGAATGCCAATTCGTTAGTATACAGGGAGACTTGCTACTATCACAGAACCTGAATCATTTCAACGACAGTATATTCTTTCTCTCCTTAGGAAAACACATATTTGAATCCAAACCATAATTAAATTACTTCGGAATGTTTTACACACTCAGCTAAAGAAAATCTTACGTATTGTTTTCACAGTAGAAATTACTTTCAAAGAAATAGGAATACTTGCTTCTGTGAGCCCTTTCACTCATTCATTTAAGTATTTATTCATTCTTTTGCTCATTCATTCATTATATATCTGTCTACCATGTAAATACCATGTGCTAGACTGTCTCAAATCATCTAATAGGCATTAGAGATACAGCGGTGAACAGAACAGACACAAAACCAATCTATTTTCATGACACGTATATTCTGGATAGAAAATAGTATAAAGGGAAACAATTAAAGCAAGTAAGGGACATAGAGATTGGAAGATGAGGAATGAAATTTTAAACCTGGTGATTAGAGAAAGGCTCAAAGACACGACTTTCTCCAGAACTTCCTTAGCTAACCACACACACACTCCTCCTTCTGAAAGACACATTCTTTCTTTAGAAGAATTCTGTGATATGAGTGAAGCACTGACGCCTATAAGCTACTCTGTTTCTTTAAGGCAACATTCTCAACCCTGACAGCTAGTGAGAATCACTTTGGAGGTTTTAATGAAACACCTGGGCACTACCCTGGTCCAATTAAATAAGAATCTCTGGTGGCATGCCTGGGGCAAGAGCATTTTTTAAACGCCCTCTAGATGTGTCTAACATGCAGGCAGGATTGAGAATCACCTTACTGCTTTAAGATGACTTTGCCTTAATCCTGTATCTACTGAGCTTAAAGTTTAATTCTTCAAAGGCAATCGTATTTCCTATTTTGGGGGCAACATACCTTGGTTCTCCAAATTTTTCTGTAGGAAAATAAAGCATACTCTCTTTAAACTACAACATGCAGAACAAAAGAGTTTTAATGGGCATGATTCTATGCCCCTCACCCAAAACAGGATCAGAAAATAAAAACCAAACAATTCTACTTTAAAATAAATGTTATAAACATGTAAAAGTAAAACCCCCTCCAAGATCAGGGTTTCCCCTTCCTGGCAGATATTTTCTTACCAATAACAAAGCTCCTACTTTTGTTCAGCAGGCTCCTCAGTATTAAAGGTTGCGCCTCTTTCCCCCTTGGAGAACAGAAGATTGAGTTAGTAATCTAGCTGCAGTCACATTTAGCGATTGATTTGTTTCAGCTCTGAGACAGGTGCTGCGCTGAGAATTACAGCACTTGGTTGCTGGGTACAGAGGAGATTTCAACATATCTCCTATCAGGGAGGCTGTTTACAGGAAATGCAAAGTTATAATGTGCACCACTGGTGGCTAATTGGGTAATTAATACAGAAGAGACCAGATCCGTGGAATAGACGTGCAATATGAGAGGAAAGTGTAACCCAGAACTTCAGAAAGCAGATGTGGCTGATTATATATACAAAGGCAATGGGAGATAAGAGTGTGGAATTGGCTCAATAGCTTGTCACATTACTCGGCAATCTAAAAGTTGCCAGCAGTAATATCCAATAGGAGACCCTAAATCTGATTTACCCCCAAGCTAATGCCTGTTTAAGATTTGCTCATGAGAAAGTCGAAATTGGGTTCCTGACTCACTTTCTCTTGAGATCTACATGTGTTTCATAGTAAGGAAAAGCCAGTACAACAGAAAGCCATGGCCTTCAGGAATTTCACTGAGAATATTCATCTCCTCCCAAGGCAGGCACAAAAGTAGCAGAGAGGAGAGAACGAGAGCTTCACGTAAAACCACTGCACTGTCAGTCTCTTCTTGCTGATGGCTTATTTCTTTGCATTCATCTGTTCCTTCACTTGAAAGGTACTTTCGCTCCAAAACGTAGAGGAGAAAAGAACTGGTTTAGCTCCAGGATGCAGGTCATGAAAGCATCGTCATCTCTGTGTCCTGGTGAAGGAGATGTTCCTCTGTCAAAATGTGAAACGTACCCACTGGGATTCCCACAACATGTCCCCACTCTATTCTCGGCCTTGGAGTCATTTGAATTAAAGAGGGGAAAGAGGCATAGGAAACCTGTCTTAAATGCCTACCATGTGCCAGATGTTTGAACTGTATTTATGTAATCTGAAGTGGGTTGACTAATGTTCTGGTCAAATCCATATCCACTCAGAACCTCAGATATGATCTTATTTGGAAATAAGTTCTTTGCAGATGTAATTAGGTAAGGATCTTGAGATGATGTGATAATGGATTTAGAGTGATCTCTAAATCCAATGACTGATGTCCTTATAAGAAGAGGAGAGGACATACAGAGACACACAGAGAGGAAAGCCATGTGAGGGCAGTGAGTTTATACTGCCACAGCTAAGGAACACCTGGAATTATCAGAAGCTGGCAGAGGCAAGGAAAAATTGTCCCCTAGATCCTTTGGAGATGGCATGGCTCTGCTGACATTTGGTTTCAGACTTCTAACTTCTAGAGCTGTGAGAGAATACATTTCTGTCATTTTAAGCTACCAAATTTAAGGTAATTTGTTAGGGAAACCCTAGGAAGCTAACACACCATCCAATCCAAAAGAAACTGATGAGGAAAGCATATTTATCCTTACTTTTCAGGCGAGGAAACTGAAGCCACTCAGCAGTGGAAACACAATTTTAAATTCATCCCTGTCTAACCCCTAGGCTCATTTTCTTTCCAGTAACCATCCTGCTTGTCTAATGAGAGAAAGCCCTAGTCAACTATTTTCTGAGCTTGAGCTTCTCAGGCTTCAACGTGCATATGAATCACCAGAGGTTCTTATTAAAATGCAGCTGCCTAGTCCATAGGTTTGGAAAGTGCCTGAGTTTCTACAATTCTAGCATGCTCCCAGGTTACTCCTAGGCTGCAGGTGTATAGACTGCACTTTAGGTAGCAAGCATCTAAATCAGTGGCCAGAGAAGCGTTTCTACGAAGGGTCACATAGCAAATAGTTTCAGCGTTGTGGTCCATACAGTTCCTGTCTGTATGTAAGCAGCTACTCAACGCTACCGTTGTCACATGAAGGTAGCCATAGGCAAATAAGTGGGCTCGACTGTATTTTAATGAAACTATTTATAGACACTAAAACTTGAATTTCATATCACTTCCATATGCCAAGGAATATTATTCTTTTTTATTTTTTTAACCATTAGAAAATGTAAAAAACATTCTTAGCTCACAGAGCATACAGAAACAGGTGGCAGGCTGGATTTGTCCTATAGGCCACAGTTAGCCAACCCCTTGGTCTAAATTTTTAAGGCCTGATTGTTTCTTGCATGGTATACAAGAAATGATGTTACTTTTTTAAAGGCAGCATATTTGAGAAGCATTCCAGTAGGACAGAAAAACAGTGACTAGGGATCGAAAGACCTAGGTTTCAAATTCTATCCTTGGTCCTAATTAGCAAATGGCTTCTCTTAACTGCCTCCCATTTCCATTTTCTCCCTCGAGTTGATCATAGAAACTGCCCTCCTTACCTTCCTGGGTTGTTTGCAAGTTAAAGAGTGAAAGATATTCCTCAGCTCTCCTTTCTTTCTGTTCCTCCTGCCTCCTTCTTTCTTTATTCTGGCATAAAAATTTACTACCTCCACGTATATTGATTGAGATGAGAACACTAATTTAAGTGGATGTGTGTTGACAGCAATCTTAGAAATAAAGGTGCAGGAGGCTATGATGACCTGTATGTCACAAAACTAAAAACACTGGAAATATACACCCACACACCTGCAACAAACAAACCCAATGACAAATAGGCATCTGAAAGGGTACAGGGAAGAGTGGCTAGGTAGCAGAGGAAGGAGAAGGGACTGCAAGGACTGTGAGACAGAAGGATGCAAAGGGAATAGAGAATTCTAGGAAAAGAAGCCAGGAACAAAGAGTGAGGCTGATGCTTTAATCCCTTTATTAATTAGCACTTGGACTCATATCATGGACATGATCCTGTGTATACAACTGTGTATACCACACAGACATTTGAACACAATGTTTCCATCCAGAGTCACCTTTTGGAGCCAGAAGGAGCTAAAGTTGTATTCGCACTTGCTTCCTAGGAAGTTACTCTTGATTAAACTCCTCCTGCACCGGTGAGCCACTAAAACGACCCAGGGGACCTTTGGCCCACATTAACTAAGTGCTTAAAGATAACCTGTAATTCAGAAGTCTGCCTTGTAGTTTGCTATTTGGAAGTCAACAAGGCATGGGAGCAGGGCCAAAGAAAATCAGCTTATCCCCAAGTTTCCATTAGTAAGAGAAATTTGCCCCTAAAGACGCCTTCCATTCAGTCTGGCAAACATTTCTGGAGCCCTTACCATGCATCAGGTGCTGTTGCACAAGACCTCATCCCTAACAATCAGTTCAAAGAGAGAGGGAAATGGCTCCTACCCACAAGATGCTTAGCGTCTAGAATGAGAAACAGGCATGCCAGTAAATAACTGTAATATCACAGGGAACATACACAGTGAAAAAAGAAGCATGCGTAAGCTCCAGCAGCAAGGGCGGGAAAGAAGTGATTTATTCTGGCTGGGGCCAAGAGAGTAGGGATAATAGCATGCAGATTGGACAGAGAACACCCAAATAGGGTCTTGAAGAAGAAGAAGAATAGCTAATGTGTATAGAGTGCTTACGATGTGCTGGGCATTAGACTACATTAACCCATTTGATCCTCACAACAACCCATTCTCATTCTTTCCCTAAATGTTAGAACTGGTATTAGGAGACACTAGCTAGTTTCTGCCACTGGTCTGGACTAAAAGACACATGAGTGTGCAAAAAGTGTGAGTCAGCCATGTCTGGCCACGTGCCGTACCCTGGAGCCATCAAAACTGACCTACGGGAATGGCAGAGACAAATGGAGAATGACAATGAATGAAGTAGTGTGTACACAGAGGCAAATATGAAGATTCAGGTTGAACAAGCAAAGGAAAAGGAGAAAGACTTCCTGCTTAAATGGGCATTGACAAGTTCTCCTCTCAAGTTTTCACGGTCTTGGTTCAAGCATCCCGTTAAAGCAACTCATAGTTGGTCTTGAAGAGAATCTTATTGGCTCACCTTTGGTCTATTCCCCCCTCCAACCCTCTTAGCCGTAGCTTATTGGACCAAAATTGGTCATGTGACCCACCTCCTTACAGCAGCAACCTTCTGTCCTACAAATGCTGAAACAGCGAAAGCTAGTTTGAAAAGTGAGTTAAAAATAAGGCAAAATCTTAGAGAAAAACAGAATTGAAGTGACAGTGGCTAATTGAAGCCTGATCTCCTGAGGCTTTTCCAGCCCTTGCTTTTTGCTTCTTGTGATGCTCAACTGTCCTCTCCCCCTGCAACTAACTGTATCTGGTCAATAAAATTTCTGATTTTTGGCTTGTGGTATATTGAGTGGAAGTTTCAGTCAGTTGCAGCAGCCAAAAGAATCTGACTTCAGACACAAAGGAAGAATCTGAAAAACTATTTTTTAGGAGGATAACTTTTCAGAGTACCAGCACGTCCCTGAGTGAATATTTTGTTTCATTCACAGCAGTTCATTCTGACTTGGCAAAATTGGGCAGACAATAACATTATTTCACAGAACAGTAAAATGCTTAAAAATAGAACTCAAGTGCTTTGAATAATGTGATTTAACATTTCTCTGTACTATACTCTCTATTTGTAAATCCTCTTTTATAGGACTGCCAATTTTAACAATTCTGATTTTAACAATTAAGAGAGATTGAAGCAGGTAACACACAGCCATGTAATGAAGACTCCTCTACGCATAAAACTCAACTGAAACAGGACAGATCCAACCAGTTAAAGTATCATTTTATCCATGTTTCTTGCCCATGAAAAAAACAAGACCCAGTTGCCATGTGGTGAAATCTTCCCCAAATACTAGAGGGATTTGTATATGTGGTTGGTTTTTCCAACAGGCTCTCATTGTGTCCTATTTATAATGTGAACAATGAAGAGAGAAGAGATTGCATCTGAAACTCATATTCAGACATGTAAACATATACCCAGGCCTGCTGGAATCTGAGGTCTTTTATTCCTCCTCATTGTTTACCTTGTAGGTCAATTTTGAGAATCAGCTGTCTTTTGAAATAAAAGTGCTTTGTAATCTCAATACCATATAAACGCGGGGAATTAGAAAAAAGGGAAAGATTGAAGAGGAAACTAGCATGTGTTGATTTGTTTGTCATTTCATTTAGCCTTTAGAACAATCCTAGGAACTAGGTATTATTTTTCACCCCCATTCTACAGATGAAGAAACAAAGGCTTATTGAGGTTCTTAAATGACATCGACATCATAGATAGTAAGGCAGCTTTTCCTTGCTAAAATTTTATTTTTCGTGTCTCAATATTTAACTTATCATATTTTAAAGGTAGGTATGAGAACCCTTGGGCATAATAATTCAATAACGAGTTATGTATATTCTCCATGATGAAATAAACTGATGAAAATCCATGCTACTCCTCTACATTAAGCAGTCCCTTCCCTGTTATTCCACTTGTGACGGCTGACTCAAAATAATCCATCTGGCTGTAAGAACTTGTTTTCCTCACTGGGAGGGCAGAGAACCAGATAGGGCATTTTGGTTCTTAAAGGAGAGGACACAGGGATATAGTGCTATACTCCCCAAAACATGCATCTACAGATAGCTCCACATCCACCAACCTTCCCATCATATGTAGTTGTACTCAACTGTGTTAACGCAAAATGTGCCCAGCAGAGGTGGTGAGTGGGAACTGAAATCCAGCCATAGCTCCACTCTCCAAGACTGGAACAATGGTGTGGAGCTACTTTCCCCTCCCAGAGGGAGCATTTTTCTGACAATTGTCCCAAGTGCACTCACGAAGCCCTGGGGCTGCATAAACCCAGGAGGGCTTACTTTTGCTAATGCATAAAGAAGGCATCCTATAAACCAGCAGGCCCCCTATGAACTAGAAGGCACCCTATAAACTCCCCTTCATTTTCAAAGACACATCTTAATCCCAAGGTAAAAGCAATTCTTGTGTAGGGACAAAAGCATACCAAAATATGATCCATGTCTATCAGGTGTCCCCAGAATGAAAGGCAAATCTTAGAGACCCAGATTTATAAGTGACATATTTGAAGCCAGAAAAATCACAGGAATCTTAACAGCAAAGACAAGGTCATCCTTTCCTTCTAGTCACCTCCACATGGGCCTGGATCAGTGAGGAAAAGTCCTCCGAGATAATGTACTGCCCCTCATTGTGCAAAGCTCTATGAGACAAGTCTCAAACTTTCTTTTTTTGAGATGGAGTTTTGCTCTTGTTGCCCAGGCTGGAGTGCATTGGCGTGATCTCGGCTCACCGCGACTTCCGCCTCCTGGGTTCAAGCTCTTCTCCTGCCTCAGCCTCCTGAGTGGCTGGGATTACAGGCATGTGCCAACACGCCTGGCAAATTTTGTATTCTTAGTAGAGCCAGGGTTTCTCTGTGTTGGTCAGGCTGGTCTCGAACCTCTGACCTCAGGTGATCTGCCCAGCTCAGCCTCCCAAAGTGCTGGGATTACAGGCATGAGCCACCGCGCCTGGCCACAAGTCTCAATCTTAACCTTATAGCACATCATGAAACTCTGGGCCTGACCTTTAGCTAGGAGTCTTGATTCCGGTGGGGAAAGGCAGAAAGAAACCTTCAGGAAGTAGAGGCAGCACTCTAAATCCAGACTTTCTAGGTAGGCCACCCAGAGCCCTGGTTCACCATGGTATTGGTCTTTCGTGGTCATCTATCCATCTAACTTAATAATTACCTTAATACACATTTAATAGACATATGTTTATGGTTGACTTTAAAAATATATCGAGCTTATTATCACTCATCCCTATTCTATTATACTCTATGTGAGAGAGAATGTCTAAGGTGCTAGGTATTGTACATAAGCTCAGGAGAACCATGAGAGTGTGGTATTCAGGTGATATGCAGAAAGATTTAACATAGCAGGTCTACTATCTTAGAAAGACATGCTTACAGAGTTGGCAGTTGGCTGTACTCTGGGAATTTGGATTTTGGAGGGCTCCCACTACTTGCTAACTGAAGAGGGGATCACTGTGCCTAAGCTGTTTGTGCAAACAATATGATTTATGCTAAACACCTGCTTTCTTTCTGGAAGTTTGGAATTCTGGTACATGCTAGGCAGAGGTTGCCTAAATGACCAGTCTCAATATATTCCTTGAACTCTGAGTCACTGATGAGTTTCCTTAGCAGATAACACTTCACATGGCAATTCTACATTAGAGGAATTAAATATGTGTCTTGTGTGGCTTCCCTGGGAGAGGACTCTTAAATCTTGTTCCAGGTTTCCATCAGAACTTGTGCCCATGCAACTTTGCTGGTTTTTCCTTGTATCTTTATGCCATAATAAATCATAGTCATGAGTGAGACTCTATGCTGAGTCTTGAGTCCTCCTAGCAAATCACTGAATCTGGAGGTGGTCTCAGGGACCCTCAACAGAGATGAACACTAAGTGTCATGGAACAAACATAAAGAAACGAACAAAAAAGGTGAGATATGCTGACCTCAACAACCAGCTGCTCAAAGAAAACTACCTTCAAACCAATGAACACATGTTAATTTCTTTCTTGTTTTTTCCTCAAAAGTTTTGAGGCAGCTTGCAACCAGATTATGCATAATAATACACTGTGATTTCATTACATAAAAATATACATATGGGCACAGGGAAATAGACTGAGAAGAATACAGCAAAACATTAACAGTTGTTTTTTCCAGATGAAGTGATAGAATTCTAATGCCTATTTTTTTTTCTTGTGCCTAACTGTATTTTCCACACTTCTACAATGAGCGCATATTGCTTTTATAATGAGACTAAAAAAAGATTACACAAAATGAAATGTTAAAACATAATTAGGGATAGAAAAATCAAGCAAAATACACAAAAGTACGGGAAGACGTGACAAAGATAAAAATATTGAAAATAGACTTACACATTGTAAAGTCCTCTATAACTGTTAACATTTTTGCCACAAATGTGACTCTGAGTGCCGTGATAGTGAGGGGAATATAGGTACCCAGTCCAGTCATTCATCAAAAAGGCATAGTATCTCCATCACTGTATAGCAAATTACCACAAACTTAGTGACTTAACAAATACCCATTTATTAGCTCACAGTTTTGTAGGTCAGATGTCCAGCAGCCAGGACTGAAGTTTTTGTCTGGAGTCTCTGGGGAATAGTCTGCTTCCAATTTTATTCTCCTTGTCGGCAGAATTTAGTTCCTTGCAGTTGTCGGACTGAGGTCCCGATTTTCTTGGGACATGATTCCCTCCATCTTCAGGCAGACAGTGGTATGTCAAATCTGCCTTGTGCCTCAAATCTCTTACTTCCCTGTCTATGATGTTAGATTTAAAGGGCTCATGTGATTAGGTCAGGACTACCTAAATAATCACCCTTTCTATAAAATCAACATAACATAACCAAATCATGGAAATGAAATTTATTATAGTCACTGTTCCTGGGGTTATAAAGGGTATGAGGAATCTTGAGGACTGTCTTAGAATTTTGCCTACAACACATAGAACTTGTAATTCTGTATGTTTGTAGGGGGGAAAAAGTAATTTAACCACTGCTATAGTTTGGATATTTGACCGCTCCAAAGCTCATGTTGAAATTTGATCCCCAATGTTGGAGGCGGGGCCTAATGGGAAGTGTTTGGGTCATAGTGGCAGATCCCTCATTAATGGTTTGGTGCTATTCTCACAGTAATGAGTGAATTCTCACACTATTAATTCCCAGGAGAACTGGTTGTTGCAAAGATCCTGGCACTCCCTACTTACTCTTTCTCTCTTCCTTCCTCTCTCTCACAAGGTGATGTGCACAGTTCCCCTTTGCCTTTCACCATGAGTGAAAGCAGCTTGAGGCCCTCATCAGAACCAGATGCTGGCACCATGCTTCTTGCACAGCCTGCAGAACTATGAACCAAATAAATCATGTTTTTTGTAAACTACCCAGCCTCAGATATTTCTTTATAGCAATACTTATGAACAGTTAAATGTTTATTCCCCAACCTGTGGCTGTCTCCTATGTCAATTACCATTCACTCTACCCAAGAATCCCAGCCAATTTCTTCTTTGTTTGCAGCTTTTTGTTAGGCTTCACCTCCAACACTGGGGATAAAATTTCAACATGAGGTTTGGAGGGGTCAAATATCCAAACCATACCTGTGGTTAAGTTACTTTTTTTTTCCCACAGACATACAGAATAACACATTCCAATGTCTGTAAACAGACTGAGATGACCACTTTGCCTACATAGATATTAGTCTCTCTGTCAGTTCTGTGCCCAGAAATAGCACTAGGGTACTACAGATAGTTCCCTATGTGAACACCCATCACACTTGCATGCCCCTTTTAACTCTAATGTTTATCTTTTGAAGAAATCTGCCGATAAAAAGCAATAAACAAAGGAGAAATTGGATGAGAATCTTGGGAGGAGAAGTACTTTGGGTAGAGTGAATGGTAATTGACATAGGAGGCAGCCATGTATTGGGGAATAAACATTTAACTCAGCGTCTGAAACCAGAATTCCTAAACCCAACTCTGCTGCTACCTAGTTTTGTGGACTTTGCCAAGTCCCTTTATTTCCCCTTACAGACTTTTCTTTCTTTTCTTTTCTTTTTCTTTTTTGCTAGATGGAACAGTTTGAATGTCTCAATGCTTTACCTCCTTTTTTGGACTGCTGGATAGTTCTTACTAATGTCAATTGTGCTTTGCTTGTCAAAGTATGCTTCAGTGACCAGCAGCATCCGTTTCACCTGAGAGTTTGTCAGAAACAGTTTTAGACTCTGCCTCTGACATGGTTTGGCTCTGTGTCCCGGCCAAATCTGATCTAGAATTGTAATTCCTATGTGTTGAGGGAGAGACCTGCTGGGAGGTGATTGGCTCATGGGGGAGGTTTCCCCCATGCTGTTCTCATGATAGTGAGTGAGTTATCACAATAGCTGATGGTTTTAAAAGTGTTTGGCAGTGCCCCCTTTGCTATTCTCTCTCTCCTGCAGCCCTGTGAAGAAGGTACTTGCTCCTCCTTTGCCTTCCACCATGATTGTAAGTTTCCTGAGGTTTCCCCAGCCATGCGGAACTGTGAGTCAGTTAAACCTATTTCCTTTATAAATTGCCCAGTCTCAAGTAATTTGTTATAGCAGTGTGAAAATGGATTAATACAGCTTCAGACCTACTAAATTAGAACCTGCATTAGAACCAGACTGCTGCATGATTCACATGCACATGAAAGCTTTGAGGTGCTGCATTCAGAATCTTGCTGCTCTCTTAGTGAACCATGTTACCCAGACTCAGTATAGTCCTGAGGGCTTGGAGCCTGTAGCCCTGTTGTCTGCTCTATCTCTCATCCCCACCTGCTCAAAAATAAAAAGAGCCACTAACTTAAAACAAACTAGGATTATGGCTGTAAACTCAGCTCACTTTCAGAAGCTATGGGCAAGCTGATCCTAAAATTTATAATGAAAATGCAAGAGACCCAGAATAGCCAAAATAGGAGGATTCACACTGTGCAAAGGGTGAGTAAGCTCAAAACTTACTACAAAGTCAGGTGTAGTGGCACATGTCTATTGTCCTAGCTACCTGCAAGGCTGAGGCAGGAAGATCGTTTGAACCCAGGAGTTCGAGACCGTAGTATGCAATGATTGTGCCTGTGAATAGCCACTACGCTTTAGCCCGGGGAACATGGCAAGATTCTGTCTGTTACAAAAAGAAAAGAAAACACTGCAAAGAACAAAGTTGGATGGAGGACTTCTCAAGTTAATTCAAAACTTACTACAAAGCTATAGTAATCAAGACAGTGTAGTACTAGTATAAGGATGGACATATAGACCAATGAACAGAATTGAGAGTACAAAAATAAATCCATACATCTGTTTGTGATTAATTTTTGACACAGGTGCCAAGACCATCCAATGGTAAATGTATAGTCTTTTTATAAAATGGCGCTGGGACGGTTGGATACCTATATGCAAGAGAATGAATTTGCACCCACACCTATAGGCAACAAAACAAAAACTAGATGCATTAGACTTGATTAACATTTAAAACTTTTGTGCATTAAAAGCACTATCAGGACAGTGGGAAGACAACTCACAAAATGGTAGAAATATTTGCAAATCATACTTTACAGAGGTTTAATATCTAGAATATATAAATAACTCCTATAACTCAACAACATAAACACAATCAAATTAAAACATAGGCAAATAATTTGAATAGGTACCACAACAATGAAGATATACAAATAGCTAATAAGCCAATGAAAAGGTGCTCAGCATCATTAGTTATTAGAGAGATACACATCAAAACCATAATGTGATACTACTTCACTCCTAGTATGATGCTTATGATGAAATAAAGAAAGTGGAAAATAACAAGCATTGGTGAGGATGTGCAGAAACTGGACCCTTTTGCACTGCTGGTAGAATACAAAAAACTTTAGCAGTTCCTCAAAATGTTAAATATAGAATTACTACATGGCCCAGCAATTTAACTTTTAGGTATATACCCAAGATAACTGATAACATATTTTCACACAAAAACATTTTCAAAAATGTTTATAAGGAGGATTATTCATAATAGCAAAAAAGTGAAAACACAACTAATGTCTATCAATGATCAATGGATAAAAAATGATATGTTTATATGATGTTATATTATTCAGCTATAAAAAGGAATGAAATATTGGTACATGCTGTGACATGGACAAACCTTGAAAACATGCTGAGTGAAAGAAGCCAGACACCAAAGCCCACATATTGTATGATTCCATTTGTTTGAAATGTACAGAATAAGCAATTCCATAGTGACAGAAAGCTGATAAATTGTTACCTGGTGATAGAGTAAGGAGGAATTGGAATTGAGGTTGTCTGCTAGTAGGTATGAGATACTCGGGGAAGAGAGGAGTAGAAAAGATTTAGAATTAGTTGACTGGATGGTTATACAACACAGTGAATTCACTGAAAACCACTGGATCGTAGACCTTACAATGTTGAAGTTAATGTTTATGTGAATTACACCTCAATAATAAAATAAAGATTGTTTTTGTTTTTGTTTTTGAGATGAAGTCTTGCTCTATCACCCAGGCTGGAATGCAATGGCATGATCTCAGCTCACTGCAACCTCCGCCTCCCTGGTTAAAGCAATTCTCCAACCTCAGCCTCCAGAGTAGCTGGGACCACAGGGGCGCACCACCATGCCAGGCTATTTTTTTGTATTTTTAGTAGAGACAGGGTTTCACCATGTTGGCCAGGCTGGTCTTGAACTCTTGACCTCAGGTGATCTGCTTATCTCGGCCTCCCAAAGTGCTGGGATTACAGGCGTGAGCTATCACCCCTGGCCAAAAAAGATATTTTTACAAAGAAGCTACAGAGCCCACTTCTGGATTCTGGTCTTCTGACCTCAGGCATCAGAGGCCAATCTAGAATCTCTCCTCACTACCCACTGAGTGTGGAGGCAGAAGGAAGTCAGTATCTAATTAGTTTAAGAGAAATGAAATTAAATCACAACATGAAATGAATTGATGAAATGCCTCCCTACTCAGAGGGAATATATCAACTGTAAAAATGAAACTCTTTTCTTCTCTAGGGATAGGAGGAAATTCTGCTTTTCTCAATTACTGTGTCAGCTGGTCCCTTCCTAAGGAAAGAAATTCAATCATCTACTTGTTTGGTCTCCAAGTCAGTTGACAGAAAATTTTTTCTCTCCCCACTGAATGGACTGTTTTCAAACTTCTGCTGGTGATTAATTATTTCACTGCCATCTGAAAAAAGCCTAAAACTTGGTGGGGTAAATAAAATGTGCTCTGAGACATCCTCAACAGACATTCTGCCAAGTAAGCTGCAATGGCAGAAGGAGGGATTTGAGGATTTTCTTTTTCTTTCTCACGAATACAGTAAGTCTCAGCTTTTCTAAAAAGCATTTTGTGATATCTCAAATCAGAATGAGCCTTTCTCTCTCTTTTTCACCTCTAGCCCTTTGTGCAAGTTGGCCTCTATTTCTGAAATATTTATATTCTTCTTTGCATAGATAGCTGTTTCTGATATTTATGCCTCAGCTTTTTACATCGCTTTCTCTAGGCAGCTAGGCAGAACACCTAGAACAGGAGGGAGACCTGGAGGGAGTTGCTATGGTTTGGATGTTTGTCCTCTCCAAAATTCACGTTGAAATTTAATTGCCATTGTAACAGTAGTAAGAGCAGGGACATTTTAAATTTTAAGATGATGTCTCATTCTGTTGCTCAGGCTTAAGTGCAGTGGTGCAATTATAGCTCACTGCAGCCTTGAATTTGGGGGCTCCAATGGTCCTCCCACCTCAGCCTCTTAAGTAGCTTGAACTACAGGACTACAGGCATGTGCCACCAAGTCTGGCGAAGAGCTGGGACTTCTGAGAGGTGATTAGGCCATGTGGTGTCCTCCCTCATGGGTGGATTAATGCTATTATAAAAGGACAAGTCAGCTCCCTTTTGTTCCCTCTTCACCCTTCCACCATGTGATGCCTTCTACCCTGTGATGATGCAGCAAGAAGGTCCTCACAAGATGCTGGCATCTTAATATTGGACTTCCCAGTCTCTAGAACTGTGAGGAAATACATTTCTCTTTTTTATATATTATCCAGTCTTAAGTATTCCATTATAGCAGCACTAGATGGAGTAAGACAAAGGTGGCTGATATTTTACCCTGCCCCAAACAAGATAATGACCTTGCATTAGTTTTCCATTTTGTATAACAAATTACCACACACTTAATGGCTTAAAACAACACTGATTTTTTACCTTACAGTTTCTATGCATCAGTAGTCTGGGCACAGCTACGCTGCATCCTCAATTCAGGGTTTTCTAAGGTTGCAATCATGTATGTCAGCTGAGCTATGTGCTAATCTGGAGGTGGGGATCTGCTTCCAGCCTCATTTAAATTGTCAGTAGAGTTCAGGTCCTTGCTGCTGTAGGACTGAGGATCTCAGATCCTAATGGCTTCCCCTTTTCACAGGCAGTTCACAACACGGTTGTTTGTTTATTCAAGTCCAGCAAAAGGGTATCTTTGCTGCTTTGAGACTATGACTTTAGAGAAGGCTTAGTCCCTTTTTAAAAGGGCTCACTTGATTAGGTCAGGCACAGCCAGTATACTATCCCTTTTGATTGACTCATAATCAACGGATTAGGGAATTTATATCTGAAAAGTCTTTTCACCTTTGCCATATAACCTATTCACAGGTCCTGCCCAAACTCAAGAGGAGAGGATTATACAGGGTATAAACACCACGGCAACAACTTGGAGGCCATCTTAGAATTCTGTATTACAGACCCCTTGATTTACTTTGGGGACCACACATTCCCTCTCAGTCCATGAGATCTGAGTAGGGTTGATCCTAATCTCTGCCATTCCCTAACATATTTTCATAGAAAATCCAATAATTAGCTATTCTTTTTCAAGTATAAGGCAGATCATATCTGCCTACCCTAGAGCGAGCCCCAGAGACCACGTGGTATAGGCTAAAATGCACTTATTTTTGTGTCAGACAAGCCTGTGTTGAAGTCCCTTGATTCACCACTTATTTACTCTGTGACCTTATGCAAGTCATTTAATCTCTTTCTTCCCAAGTTCCATATGTACAAAAGTGTTGTTATGAATATTAAGCATACTGATTGAGAAAGTAAACGTTGAGCAACAAAATCACAGCCCTTCTTATATTTGTAAAAAAAAACTAAAGTAAAAAAAAAGTTGTAATTTTAATTGCCATTTCTGCATATAAGGAGCTTGGAAGTCACTGCTCCATCCTAACAACAAGTAAAAAGATGAACAATCCAAAAAATCAACAACTTTTTTCAGATACATAACATAATTGAGTTCATGGCAAATGACTGCCCTGAAAATTGAAAAGACAGACAAGCAGGTATAGAGTCACAACATACCAGAGCAGAAACCTTCATAGGAACCAGTCCTGGAGTAAGAAAACTTGAACTCTAATCAGCAAAATTCTGGAGGCGAAGCGTGCGTAAGTTTCACAGTTAAAAACTCCAGGGTACCCAGTATTAGAAGGGGCTCCCACACTTTTTTGAGTTTTACCTCCAGGAGTTCTTGCACTAAATATCAGAAAAATGCCCTCATGCTTCCAGCAGGGGAATAGGAAAAAGAAATCATTTTGAAATATGCCAGAACACTGTTCTTCTTAACAAAATATGTCCTCAGGAAAAACTAGTTAACCAAAGCTTAACCTGCTAGGACTTTATTAGAGTCTAACTGACCTCGGAGAAGGGAAATTTTCAGCTCTAACTCACTCTAGCACGTAATACAAGAGAAAGGAAATATCCAACTCTAGTCTAAGCTAGCAATCCTATCCATCCTAGGGACTTTGGGGACTCAGGGGGAAGGGTGGGAGGGGGGTGAAGGATAAATTTCAAAAATCACCACTAAAGAACTTTCACATCGAACCAAACACCTCCTGTTCCCCCAAAACTATTGAAATAAAAAAAGAAAAACATAGCATATTAGTTGGTCGGCCGTGTACACTTTTTAGTGATTGTGAATGTAACCAAAAATTGTGGCGTTATGATGTTGAAAGGACAGGAGAAAGGATGTAAGTGAACCTCCTTTTTCACAACAGGAAGGTCGAGAGATGGCATCTAACTTGGACCTCTCAGGAGATATCGATAATAGTAATAAATGCTTTATTTAGGAAGTAAAAACCAGAAGAAACCACTGAATGAGTTGAAATGGTTGCTTTTGGCAAGCAGTTTGGTGTGGAGTAGGAAGCATGTTACTTTTGTTACAACTCTTTAGCATATTATGACTCTGTAAACAGTCTTCCCACATTACTTTGGGGAATGGAAACTGACATGAAAACCAAATTAATTAATTAACTAATTAAAGATATGGCCTATAAAAAATAACATGGATTTTTCTCATAGTAATTCCAGACAGTAAAACAGTTTCAAGGGGGAGCAGAAATGAAAGTAGCAAATCATATATGCAAAGGGCACTTAGTAATCATACAGTTTCTTGCATGTTTTTGTAAGCAAATGCCACAAACTGTACTATGTTCAGCTGCATAATCACTAACTTGATTCTACCCATTTCTTTGTCAAGTACTAAAGATATTACGGTGAGCTTCTGGCTGTAAATTGTGTTTCCCTTGTGATTCTAAAGGTTTTCTTTTGGCTGCTGTATTATTGAGCTTCAAGGGCACTACAGCAACTTTTTTCTCCTTCCTTTTATATATTTCCTTTCAGATTTTCTAGAATCTTACATAACCAAGACTGGGCAGTAGTTTATTTAAGAGCATGCATGTATACACACACGGGCATGCATTTAACTTTACATAAGGCATTCTGGGGGGTGAGCTTTCATAGAAATATAGTCATCCCTCGGTATGGGTTCCAGGATGCTTGGGGATATCAAAATTCGCTGAGGTTCAAGTTCCATAGTCCACCCCAAAGAAACCGTGGTTATGATCAACTGACCCTTAGAAACAGGGGGTTCTGCATTCCTTGAATACTGTTTTCAATCCACTATTTGTTGAATCTGTGGATGCAGAACCTATGGAGGAGGTTCAACTGTATTTTATCTTATTTTCTTAGTCTACAGCAAAATGTGCTAGATGTTAAAAGAAGTAGAAGAAAATTAAGATGACTCAGTATGAAAAAAACAAATAAAAAAACTTAACTTCCTAGTCTAGAGGCAAGAGGCTCTAAAATAGGACCACAGACCACTTCCTCTCCCGCCATCCACCTTACCACCACATTACTAGAAACCTATCTGCAGCAGTTTCTTATACTTAATTCATCTTGTCCAGCTATCAAGAAATTATAAGTTATACTAAAAGGCAAAAGGCAGTTTGAAGAGACAGAGAAAGCATCAGAACCAGATATTGCAGGAATGTTGGAACTATCAGTAAGTGAATTTAAACAACCATAATTAATATGATACGAGCTGTAATAGATAAAGTAGACAGCATGTAAGAACAGATGCTCAATACAAGCAGAGAGCTGGAAATTCTAAGGAAGGAACAAAAAGAAATGCTAGAGATAAACACTGTAATAGAAATGAAGAATGCCTTTGATGGGTGATAGAGTTTGGATATGTGTCCCCTCCAAGTCTCATGAAGTGATCCCCAATGTTGGAGGCGGGGCCTAGTTGGAGGTGTTTGGTTCACAGAGTCTGATCTCTCATGAAGGATTTGGTGCCATCTTGATGGTGATGAGTGTGATCTCAATCTATTAGTTTATGCAAGAGCTGGTTGATTAAAAGAGCCTGGCATCTCTCTTGCTCCCTCTCTTACTGTGTAACACATCAGCTCCCCTTCCCTTCCACCTTGAGTGAAAGCTTCCTGAGGTTTCACCAGAGGCAGGTGCTGACACCGTGCTTCTTGTAGAGCTGGTAGAACCATGAGCCAAATAAGCCTTTTTTTTTTCCTTATAGATTACCCAGTCTCAGGTATTCCTTTAAAGCAAAGCAGAATGGACTAACACAATGGGATTTTTCGTAGACTCCACACGGTTAAGGAAAAATCTCTGAGCTTCAAGATATATCAAAAGAAACCTCAAAAACTGAAATGCATAAAGAACGAAGACTGAAAAATGAAGAACAGAATATCCAAGAACTGTGGGACAACTACAAAAGGTGTAACATGTGATGTATATTGGGAATACCAGAGGGGAAGAAAAAAAGCAAGAAGCAGAAGAAATATTTGAAAAAATAATGACTAAGAATTTCCCCAAATTAATGTCAGGCACCAAACCACAGATCCAGGAATCTCACAGAACTCCATGCAGTCCAACTGTTTTACATTGTTGTTTTACAAACAAACAAAAAATAAAACAAAAACAAAACAAAAAACTACACTTGGGCATATTATTTTCAAACTACAGAAAATCAAAGATGAAAGAAAAAAAATTCTGAAAGAACCCAGAAGGGAAAAGAAGTCTTACCCAAAGGGAAGAAAAGACAAGAATTACATGCCACTTCTTTACAGAAGCATGCAAGCAAGAAGAGAGTAGAATGAAATAATGAAAGTGTTTAGAGAGAAAAAGACAATAACTTAAGTTTTACGAACTGCAAAATTGTCCTTTAAAAGTGAAGGAGAAATAAAGACTTCTCCAACAAACAAAAATTGAAGGAATTTTTTTCCAGTAGACTTGCCTTACAGAAAACATTTAAAAAAAAATTTTAGAGAGAAGGAAAGTAATATAGGCCAGAAATGCAGAGCTACATAAAGTAAGAAAGAACATCCAAGAAGAAATAGTTAATATAAAATAAAAACTTTTATTTTTTTTCTCATTCTTAATTGACAAATAGATGTTTGTTCAAAATAATAAGAGCAATAACATATTAAATTTTGTATGCTTATATTTATATCTTGTATGGCATATTCTTATGTAAGTATGTATATAATAAAACGAATAACAGTGGGGATATGAAGGACAGGAAAAGGGAATTGGTATTATTTTGTTATTATCATCTTATTCAAAAGTGGGTTGCATTACTCGTAAATGTATATTGCAAACTCTAGGGCAACCATGGGGAAAAAAACCTAAGAAAGGAAATAAAACAGTTTTTAAGGAAAAAGAACAAGCAAAATGATATAAAATGCTCAATTAAAACAACAATAGGCAGAAAAAAGAGTATAAGACAAAAATAGAAACAAAAAGCCAGAGCAACAAATAAACAGTAACAAATATGGTATATATTAATCCAAGTATATCAATAATCACTTGGAATGTCAATAGTCTAAATATGCCAATTAAAAGACAGAGATTGCCCAAGTAGATCAAAACATGCAACTCATATATATATATGTAAGTATATATATGTAAGTATATATATGTAAGTATATATATATGTAAGTATATATATGTAAGTATATATAAGTATATATATGTAAGTATATATATAAGTATATATATGTAAGTATATATATATGTAAGTATATATATGTAAGTATATATATACGTAAGTATATATATATATACTTACAAGAAACCCCCAGTGTCTATTTCTCCACTCTGCCCATATGTTCTTATCCTTTAGCTCCCATTTGTAAGTGAGAACATGCAGTACTCGGTTTTCTATTTCAGCATTAGTTTGCTAAGGATAATGGCCTCCATCTCCATCCATGTTCCTGAAAAGGACATAATCTCATTCTTTTTTTATTGCTGCATAGTTTTCCATGGTGTAAATGTACCAGATTTTCTTTTTTAATTATTATACTTTAAGTTCTAGGGTACATGTGCAGAATGTGCAGGTTTGTTACATAGGTATACATGTGCCATGTTGGTTTGCTGCACCCATCAACTCATCATTTACATCAGGTACTTCTCCTAATGCTATCCTTCCCCCAGCCCACCACACCCCAGCAGGCCCCAGTGTGCGATGTTCCCCACCCTGTGTCCAAGTGTTCTCATTGTTCAGTTTCCACCTATGAGTGAAAACATGCGGTGTGGCTGGTTTTCTGTCCTTGTGATAGTTTGCTCAGAATGATGGTTTCCAGCTTCATCTAGGTCCCTGCAAAGGACATGAACTCATCCTTTTTTATGGCTGCATAGTATTCCATGGTGTATATGTGCCACATTTTCTTAATCCAGTCTATCATTGATGGACATTTGGGTTGGTTCCAAGTCTTTGCTATTGTGAATAGTGCCGCCTTAAACATACACGTGCATGTGTCTTTACAGTAGCATGATTTATAATCCTTGGGGTATATAACCAGCAATGGGACGGCTGGGTCAAATGGTATTTCTAGTACTAGATCCTTGAGGAATTGCCACACTGTCTTCCACAATGGTTGAACTAATTTACACTCCCACCAACAGTGTAAAAGTGTTCCTACTTCTCCATATCCTCTCCAGCATCTGTTGTTTCCTGACTTTTTAATGATCACCATTCTAACTGGCATGAGATGGTATCTCACTGTGGTTTTGATCTGCATTTCTCTGATGGCCAGTGATGGTGAGCATTTTTTCATGTGTCTGTTGGCTGCATAAATGTCTTCTTTTGAGAAGTGTCTGTTCATATCCTTTGCCGACTTTTTGATGGGGTTGTTTGTTTTTTTCTTGTAAATTTGTTTAAGTTCTTTGTAGATTCTGGATATTAGCCCTTTGTCAGATGGGTAGATTGCAAAAATTTTCTCCCATTCTGTAGGTTGCCTGTTCACTTTGATGGTAGTTCCTTTTGCTGTGCAGAAGCTCTTTAGTTTAATTAGATCCCATTTGTCAATTTTGGCTTTTGTTGCCATTGCTTTGGTGTTTTAGTCATGAAGTCCTTGCCCATGCCTATGTCCTGAATGGTATTGCCTAGGTTTTCTTCTAGGGTTTTTATGGTTTTAGGTCTAACATGTAAGTCTTTAATCCATCTTGAATTAATTTTTGTATAAGGTGTAAGGAAGGGATCCAGTTTCAGCTTTCTACATATGACTAGCCAGTTTTTCCTACACCATTTATTAAATATGGAATCCTTTCCCCATTTCTTGTTTTTGTCAGGTTTGTCAAAGATCAGATGGTTGGGCCGGGCGTGGTGGCTCACGCCTGTAATCCCAGCACTCTGGGAGGCCGGGGCGGGCGGATCACGAGGTCAGGAGATCGAGACAATCCTGGCTAACACAGTGAAACCCCGTCTCTACTAAAAAAAATACAAAAAAAAAATTAGCCGGGCGCGGTGGCGGGCGCCTGTAGTCCCAGCTACTCGGGAGGCTGAGGCAGGAGAATGGCGTGAACCCGGGAGGCGGAGCTTGCAGTGAGCAGAAATAGTGCCACTGCACTCCGGCCTGGGTGAAAGAGCAAGACTCCGTCTCAAAAAAAAAAAAAGATCAGATGGTTGTAGATACATGGTGTTATCTCTGAGGGCTCTGTTCTGTTCCATTGGTCTATATCTCTGTTTTGGTACCAGTACCATGCTGTTTTGGTTACTGTAGCCTTGTAGGGTAGTTTGAAGTCAGGTAGCGTGATGCCTCCAGCTTTGTTCTTTTGGCTTAGGATTGTCTTGGCAATGTGGGCTCTTTTTTGGTTCCGTATGAACTTTAAAGTAGTTTTTTCCAATTCTGTGAAGAAAGTCATTGGTAGCTTGATGGGGATGGCATTAAATCTATAAATTACCTTGGGCAGTATGGCCATTTTTGCGATATTGGTTCTTCCTATGCATGAGCATGGAACATTCTTCCATTTGTTTGTGTCCTCTTTTACTTCATTGAGCAACGGTTTGTAGTTCTCCTTGAAGACGTCCTTCACATCCCTTTTAAGATGGAGTCCTAGGTATTTTATTCTCTTTGTAGCAATTGTGAATGGGAGTCCACTCATGATTTGGCTCTCTGTTTGTCTGTTATTGGTGTATAGGAACGCTTTTGATTTGGGGGCACGTTGATTTTGTATTCCGAGACTTTCCTGAAGTTGCTTATCAGCTTAAGGAGATTTTGGGCTGAGAAAATGGGGTTTTCTATATATACAATCATCTCATCTGCAAACAGGGACAATTTGATTTCCTCTTTTGCTAATTGTATACCCTTTATTTCTTTTCCTTGCCTGACTGCCCTGGCCAGAACTTCCAACCCTATGTTAAATAGGAGTGGTAAGAGAGGGCATCCTTGTCTTGTGACAGTTGTCAAAGGGAATGCTTCCAGTTTTTGCCCATTCAGTATGATATTGGCTGTGGGTTTGTCATAAATAGCTCTGATTATTTTGAGATACATTCCATCAATATCTAGTTTATTGAGAGTTTTTAGCATGAAGGGCTGTTGAATTTTGTCAAAGGCTCTGCATCTATTGAGACAATCATGTGGTTTTTGTCGCTGGTTTTGTTTATGTCATGGGTTACATTTATTGATTTGCATATGTTGAACCAGCCTTGCATCCCAGGGATGAAGCCAACTTGATCTTGGTGGATAAGCTTTTTGATGTGCTGCTGGATTCAGTTTGCCAGTATTTTAATGAGGAATTTCACATTGATGTTCATCAGGGATATTGGTCTAAAATTCTCTTTTTTTGTTGTGTGTCTGCCAGGCTTTGGTATCAGGATGATGCTGGCCTCATAAAATGAGTCAGGGAGGATTCCCTCTTTTTCTATTGATTGGAATAGTTTCAGAAGGAATGGTACCAGCTCCTCTTTGTACCTCTGATAGAATTTGGCTGTGAATCCATCTGGTCCTGGACTTTTTTTTGTTGGTAGGCTATTAATTATTGCCTCAATTTCAGAGCCTATTATTGGTCTATTCAGAGATTCAACTTCTTCCTGGTTTACTCTTGGGAGAGTGTATGTGTCCGGGAATTTATCCATTTCGTCTAGATTTTCTAGTTTATTTGCATCGAGGTGTTTATAATATTCTCTGATGGTAGTTTGTATTTCTGTGGGATTGGTGGTGATATCCCCTTTATCATTTTTTATTGCATCTATTTGATTCTTCTCTCTTTTCTTCTTTATCAGTCTTACTAGTGGTCTATCAACTTTGTTGATCTTTTCAAAATCCAGCTCCTGGATTCACTGATTTTTCAAAGGATTTTTTGTGTCTCTATCTCCTTCAGTTCTGCTCTGATCTTAGTTATTTCTTGCCTTCTGCTAGCTTTTGAATGTGTTTGCTCTTGCTTTTCTAGTTATTTTCATTGTGATGTTGGGATGTTGATTTTAGATCTTTCTTGCTGTCTCTTGTGGGCATTTAGTGCTATAAATTTCCCTGTACACACTGCTTTAAATGTGTCCCAGATATTCTGGTACTTTGTGTCTTTGTTCTCATTGGTTTCAAAGAACATCTTTATTTCTGCCTTCATTTCATTATTTACCCAGTAGTCATTCAGGAGCAGGTTGTTCAATTTCCATTTAGTGTTGCAGTTTTGAGTGAGTTTCTTAATCCTGGGTTCTAATTTGATTGCACTGTGGTCTGAGAGACAGTTTGTTGTGATTTATGTTCTTTTACATTTGCTAAGGAGTGCTTTACTTCCAATTATATGGCCAATTTTAGAATAACAGTGATGTGGTGCTGAGAAGAATGTATATTCTGTTGATTTGGGGTGGAGAGTTCTGTAGATGTCTATTAGGTCCACTTAGTGCAGAGCTGAGTTCAAGTCCTGGATATTCTTGTTAACCTTCTGTCCCCTTGATCTGTCTAATATTGACACTAGGGTGTTAACGTCTCCCATTATTATTGTGTGGGAGTCTAAGTCTCTTTGTAGGTCTCTAAGGACTTGCTTTATGAATCTGGGTGCTCCTGTTTTGGGTGCATATATATTTAGGATAGTTAACTCTTCTTGTTGAATTCATCCCTTTACCATTATGTAATGGCCTTCTTTGTCTCTTTTGATCTTTGTTGGTTTAAAGTCTGTTTTATCAGAGACTAGGATTGCAACCCCTGCTTTTTTTTTTTTTTTTGCTTTCCATTTGCTTGGTAGATCTTCCTCCATCCCTTTATTTTGAGCCTATGTGTGTCTCTGCACGTGAGATGGGTCTCCTGAATACAGCACACTGATGGGTCTTGACTCTTTATCCAATTTGCCAGTCTGTGACTTTTAATTGGGGCATTTGGGCCATTTACATTTAAGGTTAATATTGGTATGTGTGAATTTGATCCCGTCATTATGATGTTAGCTGGTTATTTTGCCATTAATTGATGCAGTTTCTTCATGGCATTGATGGTATTTACAATTTGGCATGTTTTTGCAGTGGCTGGTACCAGTTGTTCCTTTCCATGTTTAGTGCTTCCTTCAGGAGCTCTTGTAAGGCAGGCCTGCTGGTGACAAAATCTCTCAGAATTTGCTTGTCTGTGTAGGATTTTATTTCTCCTTCATTTATGAAGCTTAGTTTGGCTGGATATGAAATTCTGGGCTGAAAATTCTTTTCTTTAAGAATGTTGAATATTGGCCCCCACTCTCTTCTGGCTCGTAGGGTTTCTGCTGAGAGATCCGCTGTTAGTGTGATGGGCTTTGCTTTGTGGGTAACCCAACCCTTCTCTCTGGCTGCCCTTAAAATTTTTTCCTTCATTTCCACCTTGGTGAATCTGACAATTATGGGTCTTGGGGTTGCTCTTCTCGAGGAGTATCTTTGTGGTGTTCTCTGTATTTCCTGAATTTGAATGTTGGCCTACCTTGCTAGGTTGGGGAAGTTCTCCTGCATAATATCTTGAAGAGTGTTTTCCAACTTAGTTCCATTCTCCCCATCATTTTCAGGTACACCAATGAAACATAAATTTAGTCTTTTCACTTAGTCCCATATTTCTTGGAGTCTGTGTTCGTTCCTTTTTACTCTTTTTTTCTCCAAACTTGTCTTCTCGCTTTATTTCATTAATATGATCTTCAATCACTGATACCGTTTCTCCCACTTGATCAAATCGGCTATTGAAGCTTGTGAATGCGTCACGAAGTTCTCATGCCATGGTTTTCAGCTCCATCAGGTCATTTAAGGTCTTCTCTATGCTGTTTATTCTAGTTAGCCATTCGTCTCACCTTTTTTCAAGGTTTTTAGCTTCTTTGTGATGGTTAGAACATGCTCCGTTAGCTCGGAGAAGTTTGTTACTACCGACCTTCTGAAGCCTGCTTCTGTCAACTCATCAAAGTCATTCTCCATCCAGCTTTGTTCCATTGTTGGCGAGGAGCTGCAATCCTTTGGAGGAGAAGAGGCACTCTGGTTTTTAGAATTTCAGCTTTTCTTCTCTGGTTTCTCCCCATCTTTGTGTTTTTATCTACCTTTGGTCTTTGATGTTGGTGACCTACAGATGGGGTTTTGTTGTAGATGTCCTTTTTGTTGATGTTGATGCTATTCCTTTCTGTTTGCTAGTTTTCCCTCTAACAGTCAGGTCCCTTAGCTGCAGGTCTGTTGGAGTTTGCTCGAGGTCCACTCCAGACCCTGTTTGCCTGGGTATCACCAGCAGACGCTGCAGAACAGCAAATACTGCAGAACAGTAAATATTGCTGCCTGATCCTTTCTCTGGAAGCTTCATCCAAGAGGGACACCTGTCTGTATGAGGTGTCTGTCGGCCCCTACTGGGAGGTGTCTCCTAGTTTAGCTACATGGGGGTGAGGGACCCACTTGAGGAGGCAGTCTGTCCGTTCTCAGAGCTCAGACGTCATGCTGAGAGAACCACTGCTCTCTTCAGAGCTGTCAGACAGGGACGTTTAAGTCTGCAGAAGTTTCTGCTGCCTTTTGTTCAGCTATGCACTGCCCACAGAGGTGGAGTCTATAGAGGCAGTAGGCCTTGCTGAGCTGCAGTGGACTCTGCCCAGTTTGAGCTTTCTGGCCACTTTGTTTACCTACTCAAGCCTCACCAATGGTGGACGCCCCTCCCCTGCCAGGCTCAGCCTCACACGTCAATCTCAGACTGCTGCAGTAGCAGTGAGCCAGGCTCCGTGGGCGTGGGACCTGTCAAGGAGGCAGGGGAGAGAATCTCCTGGTCTGCCAGTTGCTAAGACCATGGGAAAAGTGCAGTATTTGGGTGGAAGTGTCCCATTTTTCCAGGTACAGTCTGTCCCAGGTTCCCTTGACTAGGAAAGGGAAATCCCCTGACCCCTTGCGCTTCCCGGGTGAGGTGATGCCCCACCCTGCTTCAGCTCACCCTCCATGGGCTGCACCCACTGTCCAACCAGTCCCAGTGAGATGAACCAGGTACCTCAGTTGCAAATTCAGAAATCACCCATCTTCTACATCGATCACGCTGGTAGCTGCAGACCAGAGCTATTCCTATTTGGGCATCTTGGAATGGAAACCACCAGATTTTCTTTATCCAAACTGCCACTGATGGACACTTAGTTTGATCCAATGTTTCTGCTATTGTGAATAGTGTTGTAATATTCACAATATTACAACATTATTACAATGTCATAATATTCACTCTTCACTATTGTGAATAGTGTGAATAGTGTTGTGAATGTTGTGATAAACATATGCATTTATGTGTCTTTATGGTAGAATGGCTTATATTCCTTTGGGTAAATTCCTTGTAATGGGGTTGCTGGGTTGAAGGATAGTTCCTTTTTTTAGGTCTTTGAGAAATTGCCACCCTGTTTTCCATAATGTTTGAACTAATTTCGACTCCTAACAACAGTGTATAATTGCTCCCTTTTCTCCACACTCACATCAGCATCTGTTATTTTACACTTTTAATAATAGTCATTCTGACTGATGTGAGATGGTATCTCATTGTGGTTTTTATTTGCATTTCTCTAATGATCAGTGATATTAAGCTTTTCTTCATATGCTTGTTGGTCACATGTATGTCTTCTTGTGAAAAGTGTCTGTTCATGTCCTTTGCCCACTTTTTACTGGAATTGTATGTCTTTTCTTATAAATATGTTTAAGTTACTTATGGATGGTATATATTAAACCTTTGTCAGGTGCATAGTTTACAAATATTTTCTCCCATTCTGTAGGTTGTAAGCTTACTCTTTTGATAGTTTTTTTCTCTGCAGAAGCTCTTTAATTAGATTCAACTTATCATTTTTTTGCTGTTGTGATTGCTTTTGACAACTTTGTCATGAAATCTTGGCTCATTCCTAAGTCCAGAATGGTATCGCTTAGGTTGTCTTCCAGGGTTTCTATAGGTTTGGGTTTTACATTTAAGTCTTTAATCCATCTTGAATTTATTTTTGCATATGGTATAAGGAAAGGATCCTGTTTCAATCTTCTATGTATGGCTAGCCAGTTATCCCAGCACCATTTATGGAATAGGGTGTCTTTGTTTTTGTCAGCTTTGTCAAAGATCAGACAGTTGTAGGTTTGTGGCTTTATTTCTGAGCTCTCTATTCTGTTGCATTGATCTATGTATCTGTTTCTGTGCCGGTACCATACTTTTTTTGGTTACTGTAGTCCTGTAGTATAGTTTGAAGTTGGATAGTGTGATGCCTTCAGCCTTTTTTTTTGCTTAGAATTGCTTTGGCTAAGTTGAGCTCTTTTTTGCTTTGGTTTTCAGTCATAAATTTTAAAATAGTTTTTATTTTAGTTCTGTGAAGAATGTCATTGGTAGTTTGATAGGAATAGCACTACACCTATAAATTGCTTTGGGCAGTATTACCATTTTAATCATATTGATTCTTCCAATCTATGAGCATGAAATGTTTTTCCATTTATTTGTGACATCTCTGATTTCTTTGTGCAGTGTTTTGTAATTCTCACTGTAAAGATCTCTCACCTCCTTGGTTAGCTGTATTCTAATTTTTTTTCTTCTGTGGCAATTCTGAATGGGATTGTGTTTCTTTTTGACTCTCAGCTTTGCTGTTGTTGGTGTATAGGAAAGCTAGTGATTTTTCTATATTTATTTTGTATCCTGAATGTTTGCTGAAGTTGATTTTCTGCTAAAGGAAGTTTTGGCCTGAGACAATAAAGTTTTCTAGACGCAGAATCATGTTGTCTGCCAACTGGGATAGTTTGATTTCCTCTCTTCCTATTTTTATGCCCTTTATCTTTCTCTTTCCTATAAATTAATAATTTAGAACCTTCCAAAAAGAAAGCACCAGGCCAAGATAGGTTGACTGATGAATTCTAACAAACACTAAAGGAAGAAATTATACCAATTCTTCAGAAGCTCTTTCATAAGACAGAAGCAGAGGGAATACTTTCTAACTAATTCTATGAGCCTAGCACCATCCTAATACCAAAACAAGAGAAATATATTTTACCAGAAAAAAAAACTATAGACGATTAAGTTTCATAAGCATAGATGCAAAATTCCTAAACAAAATATTAGCATATTGAAACTCACAATGTATGAAAAGAGTTGAACACCACGAACAGGTGTGCAAGGCTGGTTCAACATTAGAAAATCAATGTAAGCCATCACATTAGTAAGCTAAAGAAGAAAAATCACGATTATATGTATAGATGCACAAAATGTACTTGATAAAATCCAAACCCGTTCATAATGAAAACATTCAGCAAACTAGGAATAAAAGGGAACTTCCTAACTTGGTAAAGAATATCTACAAAAAACCTAGAGCTAACATCATTATTAACAGGAAGAAATTAGAAGCTTTTTCCCTAAGGTTAGGAACAAGCAAAGGACATCCCCTCTCACTACTTGTTGTCAAGATTATACTGGAAGTCTTAGCTAACACAATGACAAGAAAAGGAAGTAAAAGGTATACTGATTGGGAAGAAATAAAACTGTCTTTGTTTGCAGGCGACATTATCATCTATGGAAAAATCTAAAAGAATCCACAACAACAAAAACTAAAACTAATAAGCAATTATAACAAGGTTTCAGGGTAAGGTTAACATGCAAAAGCAAATACCAGAAATGAAAAAGTGGAATTTGAAATTTAAAACATAAAAACATTTACATTTGCACAAAATATAAAATACTGCTGAGTGTGGTGGCCTATACCTGTAGTCTTAGCTACTTGGGAGGCTGAGATGGGAGGATCTCTTGGAGACGGAAGTTCAGGGTCACATTGCATTATAATGGCATCTGTGAATAACCCCTGCACTCCAACCTGGGCAACACAGTGAGATATCAACTCTCGAAAAACAACTAAATGCAAACAATGAAATACTTAGGTATAAATCTAGCAAGATAAGTACAAGAGCTATCTGAAAGAAATAAAAAAGAACTCAGTAATTGGAGATATATTTTATGTTAATAGAAAGTGTTACTGGAAAAAGGGGTCTTGATCTAGATCCCAGGAGCATGTTCTTGGCTCTTGCACAGAAAAGCATTAACGATGAATCACAGAGCACAGTAAAAGAAGCAAGTTTATTAGTAACTACTCCTTTACAGAGTAGGGTATCCTTAGGAAGCAAGGAGAGGAACATGCCATTGTTAAGTTGTTCTTACATAGGGGTCTTATCTATGTAAAGACTAAATTATGCTGTCCTTACGTGCAGGTGGGCTGACAGCATGACAAAACTTCTTATTCTATTGATTTAAATAAAATTACTTCTGATATTGTAGTGTGTGAGTACTTCAAATCATAACTATAATTATCTTGAAAATATATATTGTTATGTGTATTGGGACATCTGGACTTTCTGTTGTTGTAAGAGTTTGTCCTTGGGAGTTATTACCAAGCAGCTTCCTTAGCTGTAAACATCTTAACACCATGAGTTCTGACTGGCAAGCAATATGCCTTGTTAGTTTCAAGATGAAGTGAATTTTAAGGTGATGTCACTCTGGTTCTTCTAGGTTCATGCCTCCCTAACAAAAGGAAAATTAAATACACTCTAATTGTTAGTTCTTCCCAAACTGATCTATAGGTTTAGTACAATCCTAGTCAAAATCCCGGAAGTTATTTTGTGGATATTGACTCTAAAGTTCATATGTAGAGACAAAAGACACAGAATTATTAGCAAAATATTGAAGGAGAAGAACAAAATTTGAAGAGTGACAGTATCTGTCTTCAAGATTCATTATAAAGCTAGAGTAAGCAAAACAGTGTGGTATTGCTGAAAGTATAGACACGTAGATGAATAGAACAGAATAGAGATCCCAGAAACGGACCCACATAAATATAGTCAACCTATCTTTGAAAAAATAGCAAAGGCAATACAATGTAGCTAATATAGTCTTTTCAACAGATGATGCTGTAACAACTGGACATCCACGTGCAAAACCATGACTCTACATATAGATGTTACACCATTCACATGAACTAACTCTGATGGATCACAGGCCTAAATGTAAAATGCAAAACTATAAAATTGCTAGAAAACAGGAGAAAATCTTGATGATTTTGAGATTTATGATGACTTTTTGGATACAATATGAAAGGCATAAACCCTGAAAGAATTATTAAGCTGGTCTTCATTAAAAATAAAAATCTAAAGATGGCTGACTAGAGTCATTTGGCACTTACTTTATCCACAAAGAAGAACCAAAATAGTAAATAGTCACACTTCACATAGAGCATCTGAGAGAGAACACTGGAATTCAGCAGAGAAGTGACAGGAAACACCTAAGGCAAGGAAGGAGAAGGACATAAGGCAGCTGGCCTGGCTGGAATTGGCTGGCAGCCCAGAGAGAGCCCCTAGTGCAAGGAAAAGGTAAGTGACAGATTTCCAGTGGTCCACATTTTCACTATAAACTCTTGAAATCCTGCCATAAGAGAGTACCTCGACCCTTGCAGGCCCTGAGACTAATATAGATATCTTCCTGGAATATTTATGATGATATTGCTCCAAGGAAGGAGATCACACTTGGTCCCAGATATACCCCAAGACCCAAGTATCCGGAGTACATTGGCATTTTCAGAGCCCCACCCCACCAGGATACATCCTGCCTTGGGGTCCAACAGCCCCTGCCTCACTACATCCCTGGAGCCCCCACTGACTTTTCCCCATGTTTGCCTAGAGGGCTGCAGCAGCATGATGCTGACTGGACTCAGTAGTTTGGCTGTTTCCCAACACTTTAGACCACACGATGTCAGAAACCCCAAACAACTGGCAGTGCAGTGGACTGGAAAGGCTGCACTCAGGACAAAAAGAGTTAAAGTACAGGCCCCCCCAGAGCCTGAAAGCTACTTCTCTGGGGATGCTGAGACAGGCAATCCCACCCCCACCAGAAACAGGGCCACAGTACACTGGCATGTGCCCTAAGGGTGGGCTCTCCCTGCCCACCTCCATTGCTACCACCACTTCTGCCATCTAAGCATGTAGCCAGGTGGCCTGGAGATTGCTCTGTCCAGTACACCACCACCTGACTTGTGCACACCACTGGGGGACCTGAGAATATGACCACTTGGGCTGGCACCTCGCCACCTCAGTACCCAAGCATGCCACCCGGGAACCTGGGAATCACCACACACTGTCCATCACCTCAGGCCCATGTGTTCACCACCAGAAGGCCAAAGAATAGGCCAAAAACATCTGCTACCAATGGAAAAGCTGAATTCTACCAAACTTATAAAGAAGAACTAACACCAATTATCCTGAAATTATTTCAAAAAAATTGAAGAGGAAAGAATTCTCCTTACATCTTTTTATGAGTCTAGTATTACCCTAACACCAAAACCAGACATGCATGCAACAAAAAAGGAAAACTATGGATCGATATCCCTGAAAAACCTAAATGTAAAAATCCTCAACATTAGTAAACCAAATTCAACTTCGCATAAAAAGATAACATACCATGATAAAGTGGTATTTATTTCAGAGATGCAAGGATGGTTCATGGTAAACAAATCAATAAATATGTTACATCGAATTAACAGAACAAAAATCAGTATTATATGATCATCTCCACCACTGCAGTAAAATCATTTGATAAAATTCAGTATCATTTCACAATAAAAACTGAACATAGCTCAACATAATAAAGACCATATATGATAAAACCACAGCTAACATCACAGTGAATGAGGAAGAGCTGAAAACTTGTTCTCTAAATACTGGAAGAATGTAAGGATGCCTACTTTCAGTACTCCTATTCAACAATGAAATGGAAGTCTTAGCCAGAGCAATCAGGCAAGAGAAGGAAATAAAGAGCATCCAAATTGGAAAATGGGGATGTCAAATCGTCTCTCTTTGCAGATGACATGATCTTATATTTAGAAAAACCTAAAGACATAACCACAAAACTCAGATCAGATAAGCAAATTCAGGATAGTTGCAGGATACATGATCAACATACAAAAATCAATAGTGTTTCTACATACAAATAATGATCTAGCTGAGATGGAAAACAAGGAGGAAATCCCATTTACAATAGCTACAAGAATAAAATACCTAGGACTAAATTTAACCAAGGAAGTGAAAGATCCCTATAAGAAAAACTACAAAACACTGATCAAAGAAACTGAAGAGATAACAGGCAAACAGAAAGACATCCCTGTTCACTCTGATGGTAGTTTCTTTTGCTGTGCAGAAGCTCTTTAGTTTAATTGGATCCCATTTGTCAATTTTGGCTTTTGTTGCCATTGCTTTTGGTGTTTTGGACATGAAGTCCTTGCCCACGCCTATGTCCTGAATGGTAATGCCTAGGTTTTCTTCTAGGGTTTTTATGGTTTTAGGTCTAACGTTTAAATCTTTAATCCATCTTGAATTGATTTTTGTATAAGGTGTAAGGAAGGGATCCAGTTTCAGCTTTCTACATATGGCTAGCCAGTTTTCCCAGCACCATTTATTAAATAGGGAATCCTTTCCCCATTGCTTGTTTTTCTCAGGTTTGTCAAAGATCAGATAGTTGTAGATATACGGCGTTATTTCTGAGGGCTCTGTTCTGTTCCATTGATCTATATCTCTGTTTTGGTACCAGTACCATGCTGTTTTGGTTACTGTAGCCTTGTAGTATAGTTTGAAGTCAGGTAGTGTGATGCCTCCAGCTTTGTTCTTTTGGCTTAGGATTGACTTGGCGATGCGGGCTACAGGCAACCTACAACATGGGAGAAAATTTTCGCAACCTACTCATCTGACAAAGGGCTAATATCCAGAATCTACAATGAACTCAAACAAATTTACAAGAAAAAAACAAACAACCCCATCAAAAAGTGGGCGAAGGACATGAACAGACACTTCTCAAAACAAGACATTTATGCAGCCAAAAAACACATGAAGAAATGCTCATCATCACTGGCCATCAGAGAAATGCAATTCAAAACCACTATGAGATATCATCTCACACCAGTTAGAATGGCAATCATTAAAAAGTCAGGAAACAACAGGTGCTGGAGAGGATGTGGAGAAATAGGAACACTTTTACACTGTTGGTGGGACTGTAAACTAGTTCAACCATTGTGGAAGTCAGTGTGGCGATTCCTCAGGGATCTAGAACTAGAAATACCATTTGACCCAGCCATCCCATTACTGGGTATATACCCAAATGACTATAAATCATGCTGCTATAAAGACACATGCACACGTATGTTTATTGCGGCATTATTCACAATAGCAAAGACTTGGAACCAACCCAAATGTCCAACAATGATAGACTGGATTAAGAAAATGTGGCACATATACACCATGGAATACTATGCAGCCATAAAAAATGATGAGTTCATGTCCTTTGTAGGGACATGGATGAAATTGGAAACCATCATTCTCAGTAAACTATCGCAAGAACAAAAAACCAAACACCGCATATTCTCACTCATAGGTGGGAATTGAACAATGAGATCACATGGACACAGGAAGGGGAATATCACACTCTGGGGACTGTGGTGGGGTGGGGGGAGGGGGGAGGGATAGCATTGGGAGATATACCTAATGCTAGATGACGCGTTAGTGGGTGCAGCACACCAGCATGGCACATGTATACATATGTAACAAACCTGCACATTGTGCACATGTACCCTAAAACTTAAAGTATAATAAAAAAAAAAAAAACCATGAAAAAAAAAATGAAAAACAAAACAAAAAAATTTAAAAACTGTTTGAACTTTTTAATCAGCTAAATATGTTGCTATTTTATCAAATATTTTAAATAAAATTACATACTAAGACAACAATTGAGTAACTGGCCCACACAGGACAAATGTCATTGAATTGCTCAGCGAACAGGGGCCAGGACAGGGAGTCTCTCTGATCAATCCCTCTGACCACATTGTTTCTCTATTTTGTGAAGTCGTTTTGTCACTGCATCTTGTTCACTGACACCCTCAGGAAGATCTCCTACAAAATGTCTGAGATGTTCCCTACCACCAGCCCCCTTCATCTGGCCCAAGACACTCCCATAGCAGAAGTTTGTTCTGAGTAATTTCCATTTCGCTGTGATCTCAAAACATTAAAGATTTGTGCTGCCCAAAAAAAAGACATCCCATGCTCATGAATAAGAAGACTTAATATTGTTAAAATTACCGTTCAATTCAAAGAAATCTACATATTCAGTGCCTTCCCTATCAAAATATCAGTGATGTTTTTCACAGAAATAGAAAAAGAAACAAGCTTGTAATTTGTATAAAACCAAAAAAGAGCCCAAATAGCCAAAGCAATCCTGAGCAAAAAGAACAATGCTAGAGGAATCACATTACCTGATTTCAAAATATATTATAAGACTATAGTAACCAAAATAGCATGGCGTTGGTATAGAAACAGACATGTAGTCCAATGTAACAGGATAGAGAATCCAGAAATAAATCCACAAATTCACAGCTATCTGTTTACCAAGATGCCAAGAACATACACTGAAAAAAGGATACCCTCTTCAATAAATGGTGCTGGGAAAAATAGATATCCAGAGGCAGAAGAATGAAACTAGACCCCTATCTCTCACCATGTGACAAAATCAATTCAAACTAAATTAAACACTTTAACATGAGATTCCAAACTATAAAACCACTTGAAAAAAAAAAAAAAACATAAGGGGGCCAGGCGTGGTGGCTCACACCTATAATCCCAGCACTTTGGGAGGCTGAGGTGGGTGGGTCACGAGGTCAGGAGATAGAGACCATCCTGGCTAACATGGTGAAACCCCATCTCTACCAAAAATACAAAAAATTAGCCAGGCATGGTGGCAGGCGCCTGTAGTCCCAGCTACTAGGGAGGCTGAGGCAGGAGAATGGCGTGAACCCGGGAGGCGGAGCTTGCAGTGAGCCGAGATCACGCCACTGCACTCCAGCCTCCTGGGCGACAGAGCAAGACTCCGTCTCAAAAAAAAAAACATAAGGAAAACACTCCAGGACACTGATCTAGGAAAAGATTTTATAGCTAAGACCTCAAAAGCACAGGCAACAAAACCAAAAATAGACAAACGGAAATATATTAAACTAAAAGGCTTCTGCACAATTAACAGAGTGCAGAAACCACCCGATGAACGGGAGACAATATTTGCAAACTATTCATCTGACAAGGGACTAAATATGCAGAAAATATAAGGAATTCAAACAACAGCCAAAATACCCCATAAATTAGTTCATTATAAAGTGGGCAAATGGGCCAGGCATGGTGGTCCATGACTGTAACTCCAGCACTTTGGGAGGCCCAGGCAGACGGATTGCTTGAGCTTAGGAGTTCAAGACCAGCGTGGCCACCATGGCGAAACCCTGTCTCTACAAAAAAAAAAAAAAGAAAGAAAAAAAAAGCCAGGTGTGGTGGTATGAAACTGTAGTCTCACTTACTTGGGAGGCTGAGGTGAGAGCCCAGGAAATTGAAGCTGCACTGAGCCGAGATAGCATGACCACACTCTAGCCTGGGCAACAGAGTGAGACTCTGTCTAACAAAAAAAGTAGGCAAATGATCTGAATAGAAATTTCTCAAAGGAAAACATACAAACATCCAACAGGCATATGAAAAAAAAATGCTTGACATCTCTAAACATCAGAAAATGTAAATCAAAACTGCAATGAAATATTATCTTACACCACTTAGAACGGCTAGTATCAAAAATACAAAAAAAAATTAGATGCTGGTGAGGATGTGGAGATTTGTTTGTGGAAATGTAAATTAATACAGCTATTATGGAAAACAATATGGAGATTTATAAAAAAAAACAAAACTAAAAATGGAACTACCAATAAGATTCAGCATTCCCACTACTGGGTATTTACCGAAGAAAATCTCAGCATATCAAAAGCACACCTGTACCCCCATTTAATTGTAGCACTATTCACCATAGCAAAGAAATGGAATCAACCTGTTTCCATCAACAGGTGAATGGATAATGAAAATGTGACATATGTACACAATGGAATACTATTCAGCCATGCAAATAATAAAATCCTGTCATTTGCAGAAACATGGAGGAAACTGCAGATCATTATATTAAGTGAAATAAGCCAGGTACAAAAAGACAAATATTGCATGTTCTCATTCATATGTGGGAGCTAAAACAGTTAATCTCATGGAGGTAGAGAGTAGAATGATTGTTCCCAGAGACTGGTAAGGGTGTGTGGCAGGAGGGGGCAAAAGAGAGGTTTGTTAATGTGTGCAAACATACAGTTAGATAGAAAGAATAATTTCTATTGGTTGATAGAGAGTAATGTGACTATAGTTAACAACGTGTTGTATATTTCAAAATAGCTAGAAGAGAGGTCTTGAAATGTTCCCAACACATAGAAATGATAAATGCTCAAGGTGATGGTTATCCTAAATATCTTGACTTGAGCATTATACATCTATGCATGTAATGAAATATCAAAAATACCCCAAACATATGTACAAATATTATGTATCAATTGAAAAATATGATGATGGAATTCAGATGATTTGTCTGATAAGGTAAGTCATTCATCTTTTTCTCCAAAATTGTCTTAACTACTATTTGCCCCTTTGCTTTGCTAAAAATATTTTTAAACCAGGTGAATTTACAGATTAATTTTGGGAGGCTTGAGAACCTAAAACTGTTCTAAAAAAATAAAGTGTTAAAAAAAAAAAACTTAAATAAATGAAACATCTTACTAAAGCTTTGGTCTCAAAGGTTTTTAAGTGGGATTTTGGCACAGCGCCCCTGTGCACTATGCTATTCAACATGTTTACCAATGACTTTTATAAGATCCAGAAGGCTCTTCAAAAAAAAGTCTGAATTTATAAAGCTCTGAAACAGAGGAAACCCATTTTCCCTGGACATCCCAGAATATCCACGTCCCCAGACAATACAAGATGGCTATGTTCCTTACTAAAGTTATAAGTCAGCTTCTGTTTCTGTCTGGGTTTAGCCCCCTATACCAAAGACTCTGGCATCTTCAATCATATCAGTGACAGATCTCAATGACCAGCACTCTGGTACAGAGATCTGCTACATTTCCAGAAGTGGCACTTAAACACTACTCTGGGCTCAATGCAAATCTAATGATTGTGAACTGTGTGTTCACAATCTGTGTGCGCACCGCACACATACACACACACACCTCTTAGGGAAATGAGAGCAGTCTCTTAACCTTACAGGCAACTCTACTAGTCTCAACATGCAGCTTCAGTCACCTGAGCTATGTCAATTAAGGTCGCATAGATAGTAAGTTGTGGAACAAGAGATTTTTACCTTTTTTCATGCAGAGTAACATAATCACAGGAGTGATCTCCCTTAATGTTCACAGTCTCTGCCTACACTTCAGGGGTCTAAGTCCCACAGGAATCACTCGTCACCCATCCTGAGCTTGCTTACTTGCTAAATACTAATAAAAGGAAGAGAAGGCAGAACCAGAGATGAGTGGAAAACAGTGACTTCTGCACAACTGTTTTTCACACACAGGCAAACACACACACATGCACACGCACACAAATTTCAACACCGCTGTGAAATAGTTGCCACTGTCATTACTTGTGTTAATAATACAAGTTCATTGTTATTGACAAGGCCACAGTAGATTTCTCCCGGGGGAGGCAGTGAAAGAGTGAGAAAATGCCTCTGCTATTTCTACTCCTCCCTATCTTAGTAAATTATACCACCTAGGTACCTGGTATCATGTACCCAATACTTGGGGATTACCATTGCCATCTACTTTATTCTTGCCTCCATATCCAATGCATTACCAAGTCCTATTTGCTCTACCTCTAAAATATATATCCCAAATCCATCCACTTCTCTTTATCTCTGCAGCTATAAGTCCAGTCTAAGTCATCATCATCTTTTGTCTAAATAATTGTAACGGTCTTCTAATTGCTCCTTGATATGCTTTGGCCGTGTCCCCACCCAAATCTCATATTGCATTGTAGCTCCCATAATGCCCACGTGTTGTGGGAGGACCCCGTGAAAGATAATTGAATCACAGGGGCAGTTTCACTTATACTGTTCTTGTGGTAGCGAATAAGTCTCAGGAGATCTGATGATTTTATAAGGGGTTTCCCCTTTCGCTGGCTTTCAATCTCTTTTGTCTGCTGTCATATAAGATGTGACTTCAGCCTTCCACCATGATTGGAAGGCCTCCCCAGCCATGTGGAAATGTGAGTCCATTAAACCTCATTTTCTGTATAAATTACCCAGTGTTCGGTATGGCTTTATCAGCAGCATAAAAACAAACTAATACAGTAAATTTGTACTGGTAGAGTGTGACACTGCTGTAAACATACCTGAAAATGTGGAAGTGACTTCAGAACTGGGTAAAAGGGGGAGGTTGGAACAGTTTGGAGGGCTCAGAGGAAGACAGGAAAATGTGAGAAAGTTTGGACCTTCCTATAGACTTGTTGAATGGCTTTGACCAAAATGCTGATAATGATATAAATAATAAAATATATGCTAAGGTGGTCTCACATGAAGATGAGGAACTTGTTGGGAACTGGAATAAAGGTGACTCTTGCTGTTCTAGCAAAGAATCTGGTAGCATTTTGCCTTTGCCTAGAGATTTGTGGAACTTTGAACTTGAGGGAGATGATTTAGGGTATCTATCTGGCAGAAGAAATTTCTAAGCAGCAAAGCATTCAAGAGGTGACTTGGGTGTTGTAAAAAGCATTCAGTTTTAAAAGGAAAACAGTATAAACGTTCAGAAAATTTACAGCTGATGACGCAATAGAAAAGAAAAACACATTTTCTGAGAAGAAATTCAAGCCAGCTGCAGAAATTTGCATAAGTAACGAGGAACCAAATGTTAATAGCCAAGACCATGGGGAAAATGTCTCCAGGGCATGTCAGAGACCTTTGTGGCAGCCCCTCTGATCACAGGCCTGGAGGCCTAAGTGGAAAACATGATTTCCTGGGCTGCGCCCAAGGCCCCCCTTTTGTGTGCAGCCTACGGACTTGGTGCCCTGCGTACCAGCTGCTCTGCCATGACTAAAAAAGGCCAAGGTACAGCTCGGGCTGCGGCTTCAGAGGGTACAAGCCCCAAGCCTTGGCAGCTTCCCAGTGGTGTTGAGCCTGTGGGTACACAGAAGTCAAGAATCGAGGTTTGGGAACTTCTGCCTAGCTTTTTGAGGATGTATGGAAATGCCTGGATGTCCAGGCATAAATTTGTTGTAGGGGTGGGGCCTACATGGAGAACTTTTGCTAGAGCAGTGTGGAAGGGAAATGTGGGGTTGAAGCCCCCACACAGAGTCCCCACTGGGGAACTCCTAGTGAAACTGTTAAAAGAGGGCCATCGTCCACCAGACCCCAGAATGGTAGATCCACCGACAGCTTGCACTTGCACCTAGAAAAGCCACAAACACTCAACACCAGCCCATGAAAGCAGCTGGGAGGGAGGCTGTACCCTGCAAAGCCAGAGGGATGAAGCTGCCCAAGGCTGTGGGAACCCACTTCTCGCACCAGCGTGACCTGGATGTGAGACATGGAGTCAAAGGAGATCACCTGGAACTTTAAGATTTGACTGCCCCGCTGGATTTTAGATTTGCATGGGGCCTTCACCCCCTTCATTTTGGCCAATTTCTCCCATTTGCAATGGGTGTATTTATTCAATGCCTGTACCCCCGTTGTATCTCAGAAGTAACTAATTTGCTTTTGATTTTAGAGGCTCATAAGCAGAAGGAACTTGCCTTGTCTCAGACGAGACTTTGGACTGTGGACTTACAAGCGAATGCTGAAATGAGTTAAGAGTTTGAGGGACTGTTGGGAAGGCATGATTGGTTTTCAAATGTGAGGACATGAGATTTGAGAGTGCCCGGGGTGGAATGATATCGTTTGGCTGAGTCCCCACTCAAATCTCATCTTGAGCTGTAGCTGCCATAATGGCCACATGTTGTGGGAGGGACGCAGTGGAACATAATTGAATCATGGGGCAGTTTCCCCCATACTGTTCTCGTGGTAGTGAATAAGTCTCATGAGATCTGATGATTTTATAAGGGGTTTCCTCCTTTGGTTGGCCTTCATTCTCTCTTGCCTGCCGCCACAAAAGGCATGCCTTCTGCCTTCCGTCATGATTGTGAGGCCTCCCCAGCCATGTGGAAATGTGAGTCCATTAAACATTTTTTTTTTAATAAATTATCCAGTCTCGGGTATTTCTTTTTCAGCAGTGTGAAAATAAACAAATACACTCCTTTGACTTGCACTCCTGCTGGCTGCTCTACAGTCCAATTTCCATAGAGCGGCCAACGTTATCTTTCTAATGTTTAATCATATAATGTCTCTCTCTAGCTTAAAATCTTAAGCTGTATTACAGCTAAATTCAAAATTCTTGATGTTCCAGAAAGTCTCACCTCGATCTTGCCCCTGCCTGAATCTCCAAACTCATCTTGTCCTCTCTCCGCCTCATTCACCAACCATTCTAGGTACGCTGGCCTATGTGAGCACGCTACATTTATTTCATCTTCAAAGCCTGTGCCCTGGTTGTTCCCTCTACCTGAGGCATTTGTCCTCTTGATGTTTGCACACAAGCCTGATTCCTTTATGCCATTCAGGTCTTAGCTCAAATTCCACCTGCTCAGTAACAACTTTTCAAGTCATCTGATCTAAATTACTTCTACCCCTCTCCCAGTCCCCCACTAAGTCACCCTGTTTACATTCTTCATATCAATTTTTGTTTTTCTTTAATTATTTGTTTTTATGTTTATAATCTCTATGTGTATGAGAATGTAAGCACTATCAAAGCAGGAACATTATTGATCTTGTTCAATTTCTTGTGCTCTTAATGTGGATGATTCTTTGGTATATATTAGATGTGCAACAAACATTTGTTAAATGGGCTATCCCGTTTTCAGATGAGGAAAGCAGCCTGGAGGATAGAAATGTCCTTAGGCTATAAAGCTAGTAAACATCTTAGAAGCTGAGAAAATCTCCTCCAAACAAAGAATGATAATAGTAACCACTTCTCTAACAGTATGTGTCAGGCACTCTTATTTAATCTTCAAAATGATTCTAAGTGGTAGAGTATTAGGGGGACAGGGGAAGTGTTAAAAAATTAGGATTGGTTTATTTCTTAGTTAATTGCAATCAGTCAGGGACGTCTCATCATGTAGCTCTGCCAGCTTCTCGGACCTCAGGATCTGGATTCTTTGCATCTGAATTGCATGCAAGGGAAGAGAAAAAGTCAAATAGCATCTTGTGACCTTTTGCAATCAGGCCACGCTCTTAAAGCTCAACAATGCAAAGAGAATGTGTACAGCATGTTCCTAATTTTTAAACGAAGTAGGCCCTCTCATATCATGGAAATAGAAGGGGAGGTGATCCACACATAAGTGGTTCATACTCCTCCACATTTCATTAGCCAGAACTCAGTTACTTGATCCTATATAAAGGCAAAAAAGGGCAGGGATATTTACTGATTCCTGTGAAGCCAGGAGGAAGAGAAGATGCCCGTTGGTTCTTCTGATGAGACCCTTTGTCCCCTTGAGATGGCTATAGGTCCTCCTGACAGGATCATTGGTCCTCTTTAAGTTACTATTGGTCCTCCTGATGAGATTCTTTTTCCTTGATGAGACTGTTGATTCTGGCATGCTCAATCAGTCATGACCACATGATGTATGGGAAGAAGTTTGTCTCAGGTAAGTAAAAAAAAAAAAAAAAATGAGGAGGAAAGAAGCTTGTTTCTTCATAAGCTTGCTTATTTAACAAACAAATGCTATTCTTTTTGTCTTTGCGTGTTTTCTGTTGTTTCCTGAACTCTTATGTGTCCTTCAAAACAGAGCTCTACAACTCTAGGGTTCTGTATCTGATTTCCCTATAAACCTTATCTGTTTTTTTTTTTTTTTTCCTGTACTCTTTCCTCTGCTTCCACCTCAAAAGTAAGCTCTTCAAGGAATTGGGCTTTACTATTTGAAGTGTGAAACCATGTAATTTTCAAATTTCGAAGATCTCATTAAAATACATATTTTAAATTTTGCATTGGAATATTAACTTAAATAATAAAAGTTTAATCTCAGAAAATGGAGAATTTGAAAGGAAAGGAACAATTTTTAAATATTTAGAAAAGATCTAAAAACAGGCATTTTAACAATGTATGTGACATTGCAAGGGGAGAAAACAAACAAACAAACACCAAAAACGTAGCCAGAGAAGGCTCAAGTAAATTGAACTATATAAAACTAAACTGGCCGGGTGCAGTGGCTCACTCCTGTAATCCAGAACTTTGGGAGGCCGAGGCGGGTGGATCACCTGAGACCAGGAGTTCAAGACCAGCCTGTTAAATATGGTGAAACCCTGTCTCTACCAAAAATACAAAAATTAGCTGGGCATGGTGGTGGGCACCTGTAATCCCAGCTACTAGGAAGGCTGAGGCAGGAGAATCACTTGAACCTAGGAGGCGGAGGTTGCAGTGAGCCAAGATTAGGCCACTGCACTCCAGCCTGGGCAACAGAGCGAGACTCAGTCTCGGAAAAAAATAAAATAAAATAAAAATAAAATAAAAAATAAAAAATACAAAGCTAAACTGTGAAAAATTGAATATCTTGACATATTTTCTTTTGAATATTAAAAAGATATTAATTTTTAAGGAGGTAATGTTTCTCTAGAGATTTCTTTTTATTTTTAAATTTTTCTTTGAAACTATTTCAAACTTAGAAAAAGTTGCAAGATCAGGAAAGTATAAGCAAAACCATATTCCCTTTGTCCAGATTAACTTGTTTTTTTTTATTTTTATTTTTGGAGACAAGGTCTCACTCTGTCGCACAGGCTAGAGTGCAGTGGCATGCTCTCAGCTCACTGTAGCCTCAACCTCCTGGGCTTAAGTGATCCTCCCACCTCAGCCACCAAATAGCTGGGACCACAGGCACCACGCCCGGCTAATTTTTTTTTTTTTCAATTTTTTTTCTAGAGACAAGGTTTCAACATGTTTCCCAGACTGGTCTTGAACTCCTGAACTCAAGTGATCTTCTCAGCTCGGCCTCACAAAGTGCTAGGATTACAGGCGTGAGCCACCACCCCTGACCCGGATTCACTTTTGTATTTTACATTTTACTGCATTTACTTTAGCTCTTTATCTTTCTGAACCACTTGAAAGTCAGATGTATGTATCATTGCCCCTTTATGCTAAATATGTGTCTATTTCCGAAAAATAGGAACATGCCTATAGTGATTATATCTACATAGTACCATGGTATAGTAAAGAGCAAGAAGCCAGAGTTTCACCATCTGCTGTAATACCTACTCTTACAAGCCTCACTGTATGTTAATTGTCTGTCTGTTTATTTTTCTTCTGCTAGACTTACTGCTCCTGAGGGCAAGGACCAAATCTGATACTTGTTGAAACCCTATGCCTAGCACATGGTAGGTGCCTGCGATTTTTTCCCCAAATATTGGCTAATTATGAAAAGGCTGCAATTATCAATTGACAAAAATAAATATTTTGTTTTTATTAGCAATTTCTAGTTTAACTGCTTCATGATCAAAGATGGTTGTTTGTGATAGTTCTCCTTTTTGAAATTTATTGATGTTTTCTTATGACTAAGTATATGTTTAATTTTTGCGAATGTGCCACGTGCAGTTTAAAAGAATACATATTCTCTATAGTCAGAGTTTAGAATGTGACATATATTAATAAATTCTACCTTGTTGATTATATTATATTGTTTAGATCTTCTCTCTTCTTATGTTTTGTCCACTTGATCTGTCTCCTATTGAGGGTGGAGTATTAAACTTTCCTTTTCTCACTGTCTTTCTGTTTCTGTCTCCCTGTGTCTTTTGTAGTTTTTACTCCATAAAGGTTATTATTTGGCAATAAAAATTCTTAAATGTTATGGTATCATTCTGCATTACAGACTTTAACATTAAGAATGTCCTTTTTGGCTGGGAGCAGTGGCTCACACCTGTAATCCCAGCACTTTGGGAGTCCAAGCCAGGTGGATCACCTGAAGTCAGGAGTTCGAGGCCAGTGTGGCCAATGCGGCGAAACCCCGTCTCTACTAAAAATACAAAAAATTAGCCAGGCGTGGTGGTGGGTGCCTATAATCCCAGCTACTCAGGAGGCTGAGGCAGGAGAATTGCTTGAACCCAGGAGGGGGAGGTTCCAGTGAGCCAAGATCATGCCACTGCACTCCTGCCTGGGTGACAGAGTGGGACTCTGTCTTGGAAAGAAAAAAAAAGAATGTCTTGTCATATCCCTGCTTTGGGGCTTGAATTTCATTTTACTGATTCCAGGATACCCTGCTTTCTGTTTTCATTTTGTTAATTTCCATTCTTCCTGTTTTCATTGGCCTTGTATACCTTTCTCCCTCCTTTTATATTTAGCCTTTTGAATCAGTTTGCAGTGTAACTCTTGTATATAAAAGCGTTGGGGTTTGTTCTCTGAGTGAAATTGAAAATCTTTTTTTTTAAAAAGCAGGTCATGAGGCCGGGCGCTGTGGCTCACACCTGTAATCCCAGCCCTCTGGGAGGCCGAGGCAGGTGGATCACCAGAGGTCAGGGGTTCGAGACCAGCCTGGCCAACATGGTGAAACCCCGTCTCTACTAAAAATACAAAAATTAGCCGGTCATGATGTGGCATGCCTGTAATCCCAGCTACTCGGGAGGCTGAGGCAGGAGAATCACTTGAACCTGGGAGGCAGAGTTTGCAGTGAGCCAAGATCACACCACGGCACTCCAGCCTGGGGGACAAGAGCGAAACTGCATCTCAAAAAAAAAAAAGAAAAAGACAGTTTTCTTGGATTATACTTTTCAGTAGTACTTTTGTTCTATTGATTATCTTTTTATAGGGACTGAAGTAATATGAATGGCATTGCTTTTTTATTTATCTCTTATTTCCATTGCTTTGTTATCCTTTTTGTTTTCCTAATCTCATTTTCATTTTATTTACTGTTTTCCTGCCTCTTAATATTCCCCAATGCCCCCTATTACATTTTACTAGGGATTGTTCTCACGTAGGAATTCTGTAATTTATTTTTCATTTCTAAAATAAGTTTGTATTTTTCTTCCATTTCTTTCCTGAGTTAAATCAAGTCTATTTCTTCCTTTCTTTGTTTGCTTTTTACTGTCTTTAACTTTGGAGTTTCTGACTTGGAGTTTTTAAAAATATTACCAATTGTGTCTGCTTAATACTGTTTGGAGTATTATATTACATTAAAAGTTTTGGTTTGCTTCATGGTTGTTTTTCTGTGCTTGGGTCTACCTCAATTGATAAGTATTGAATTTAGTTTTCTAGTTTTTTCAAAACTCTATATGGATCTGCTAATCTTGTCATCGTTCATTTTTGTGGTACTGGGATGTTTTACAAGATTCCTAGTTTACCGAGACACATTTCTGTCAGTAGAGAAAAGTCCACATACTTTGGTGGATTAGTTTGTTTTTGCCAGTGGGGCACGGTTGCTTGTCCTCTGATTTTATGGGTCTCTTATCATACATGATCCTAATTTTATCTCTCTTGCCTCTTTTCCACTTCACAGACTAATTCCAACAGGTGCTTCTGTCTTCCTATTTTAACCATTGTTCACTCCTAGATACCATGAGTTTTATAAACTCCTCCTTTAAATTACACGGACTTTTTAGTCCTTTTCTTGTCATGTGAATTCTGATGTACCCAGACACTTTTTTTTTTTTTTTTTAGATGGAGTCTTGCTCTGCCTCCCAGGCTGGAGTGCAGTGGCCTGCTCTCGGCTCACTGCAACCTCTGCCTCCTGGGTTCAAGCGATTCTCCTGTCTCAGCCTCCCAAATAGCTGGGATTACAGGTGCACACCACAACACTCAGCTACTTTTTTATATATTTGGTAGAGAAGGAGTTTCACTATGTTGGCCAGGCTGGTCTCAAACTCCTGACCTCAAGTGATCCACCTGCCTCGGCCTCCCAAAGTGCTGAGATTACAGGAGTGAACCACTGCGCCCAGCCTCCCAGACACTTTTTAAAAAGTATTTCCAGCTGGGCAAGGTGGCCTATGCCTGTAATCCCAGCTGCGCCTGTAATCTCAGCAACACAGGAAACTGAGGTGGGAGGATCGCTTGAGGCCAAAAGTTTGAGACCAGCCTAGGCAACACAGCAAGACCCTGACTCTCAAAAGTAATTAAAAATAGCTGGGCATGGTGGAGCACTCCTATAGTCTGAGCTACTCAAGAGGCTGAAACAGGAGGATTGCTTGATCCCAGAAGTTCGAGGCTGCAATGAGCTATGATTGTACCATTACACTCCAGCCTGAGTGATAGAGCGAGGCTCTCTTAAAAAAAAAAAAAGTATTTTTTAGACTAAGGTTAACCTCAATGACTTAGGACTTGTTGCTGTTTCTCCTTTTCTTTTTGCTTGAATTTTGAATAGGCTTGCTTTTTTCCTCCTTGTTGTTCTTTAGTGGTTTTGGAGGAAACATTGGGAGATGGAGACCTAGGTGGCCCTGGTTGTCCCAGAAGTCCCTAAAAGTGAATACACTTTGAAGGTAAGGCTTCTTTTGTGCTATGGGACAGTTACACCTGTTAAAAGACAAGTTGTACTTTTATGGAGACCACCACTAAAATGTTTCAAAGGTCAAACAGACATTAATTATTTCAATTTATGGTAGGTCACACCACCATATGTAAGAAACTTTGAGAAACCTTTAGTATTTGATGATGTCATCCAGTTTTTTAAAACTCTAGCTATTTGTCCAAATTTGCCTCAGTCTTTTGGACACTTCCAGAAGCTTTACTTTGGGGTAATGACAGTATGAGTAATCCATGCTGCTGAGTCACATTCAATTAATGTAATTGTACAACTTAGGCTAAGTTTGCTGTTTTGTATTGTTTTGTTTTTAACTCCTGGTAATGTCAAAGGATAAACAATTCACCTTAATTGTCAATTATTTGAGAAAAGATCCTTCAATCATATTAGTCATACTTGAAATATTACAGAAATTAAAATGCCTGCATTCTTTATAGGTGGAGCAGAATATTAATGAAAATGTTTGCTTTTCTTATATGTAGCAAATAGCATGTTACTATCATCAAATATCAAACTAAATACATATAATTCTCTAATAACTGTGACTTTGATGGTCCAATGATGATGTGTATTAAGTGATCTGTTTGAAATCTTGTAGGTCACTGGGAGCAGATTAACCCCTCCCAAAATCAGTTAGATTAGAAATTCGAAGAAAGAAGTACAGTTTATGTACTATGTCTAATTTACATGTGATTATATTTTAAATGAATATTTTGAGCTCAAAGGTAAGACATAACTGACAATTGTATGTCTTTGAAAGTTCTGTATTTGATAGATCCCTAAAACAGGAACAAAGTAAATTAATTCAAGTTTCCCTCACTGTGAAAATTATGAAGAATTGGCCCTTTGGGAAATCACATTAACTTTTTCTCACCTAATTGATTATTCACTAAAGCCTCTTGTCTTTTAAAACTTGTTCAATGCAGTCAAATTTACAACATCTTTGACCCTAATGCTTGATTTCTACTATACTTTATACTTTCTAACGCATTATTTCTACTTGATGTAGTTATGCATAAGCAATCTCACACATTAAATCTTATTATCACTTTGAAATGACCCATCATCAAGTTCTCAAACTCTAAAATACAAACCTCCTGTTTGCTCAGATCTCCTGCCCTCCTGCTTCTACTGAGTACCCTTTGATTCCCAGTGATACCCAGTCCCTTTACTATTCTCTCAGACCATCACCTTAGACTTCATTTGCCACCTCAAGCAGCCTGGACCCCTGAATTGGCTGTTACAGTAGTGCACCTGCTACTATCCCAAGATCCCTTGCCTCTTTGAACTGTAATTGTTGCATGCCATTTTCCACTGTGGTTAACCCCAGAGGGATTCTATTCTGACACCCAGACTTCCAAACTGGCTTCACTGTTAACTGGGACTGCCTAGCATCAGTTGAGCTGTCTTTTGTGTCTTTCTATGTTGTCTTCCTCCCACTTTCCACATCTTCTTTTCTATACCTTAGTTTTTTTCAAGCCTCCTAACCTAACTTTTACAACCTCATATATCACTATTCTCCTGAACTTCTGCTTCAATCAAATTGGGCTGTTTACTGATTCTAAAACGAACCCTGTGCTTTTCCATCGCTTTGCTTTGCTTCTTGCTATACCCTCAGCCAGCATTAGCCACTCCCATTGTCCTGTCAAAAGGCTGTACAGGCATACATCATTTTATTGCACTTTGTTTGATTGTACTTCACAGAAACTACATTTTTCTTTTTTTTTTCACAAATTGAAGGTTCTGTGTCAGTCAAGTCTCTGGGAAGCATTTTTCAAACAGCATGTGCTCACTACATCCTATGTTACATTTTGGCAATTCTCACAATATTTCAAACTTGTTCATTATTATTATATCTGTGATGGTGATCTATGATTGGTGTTTTTGTTTGTTTGTTTTTTGCGACAGAGTCTCACTCTGTCGTCCAGGCTGGAGTGCATGGTGCGTTCTTAGCTCACTGCAACCTCTGCCTCCCGTGTTCAAGCGATTCTCTTGTCTCAGCCTCCTGAGTAGCTGGGATTACAAGCACACACTGCCACACCCGGCTAATTTTTTGTATTTTAGTAGAGACGGGGTTTCGCCGTGTTGCCCAGGCTGGTCTCAAACTCCTGAGCTCAGGCGATCCACCAGCCTCGACCTCCCAAAGTGCTGGGATTACAGGTGTGAGCCACCGCACTTGGCCTATAATTGGTGATCTTTGATGTGACTACTGTGATTGTTTTGCAGCACCACCAACCACACCTATATAAAAGGATACAATGTATTGATAAATGTGTGTTCTAACTGCTCTACCAACCGGCATTTGTCCCTTCTCTCTCCCTCTCCTTGAGCCTATCTATTCTTGGAGACACAAAACTATTGAAGTGAAGCCATTTAGCAACCCTACAATGTCCTGTAAGTATTCAAGTGAAAATAAGAGTCAAACATTTTTCACTTTATTTTTTTTTCCTTCTAACTTTTATTTTAGGTTCGGGAGGATACATGTGCCGGTTTGTTACATGGGTAAATTTTGTTTTGCTAGTGTTTGGTGCACAATTTCATCACCCAGGTAGCGAGCATAGTATCTGATGGTTAGTTTTTTCATCCTTACCCTCTTCTAACCTTCCACCCTCAAGTAGGCCCGGTGACTGTGGTTCTCTTCTCTGTGTCCCCCTCTTTATGTTCCCTTCTTTGTGTCTACATGTACTCAATGTTTAGCCTCAACATGTACTCAGTGTTTACCATTGTGGTACTTGGTTTTTAGTTTCTGCATTAATTCACTTAGGATAGTGGCCTCCACCTCCATCCCTGTTGCTACAAAGGATATGATTTTATTCTTTTTTTATGGCTACGCAGTATTCCATGAGGCATAATTTTCACACCTTCTTTATGCCGTTGATGGGCACCTAGGTTGATTCCATGTCTTTGCTATTGTGAATAGTGCTGCAATGAACATATATGTGCATATGTCTTTATGGTAGAATGATTTCTATGTCTTTGGGTATATATCCAGTAATGAGATGGCTGGGTCTAACGGTAGTTCTGTTAAGTTTCTTGAGAAATCTCCAAAATGTTTTCCATAGTGGCTGAACTAATTTACATTCCCACCAGCAGTGTATAAGCATTCCCTTTTCTCTGCAGCCTTGCCAGCATCTGTTAGTATTTGACTGTTTTATAATAGCTATACTGACTGAGGTGACCAAAGCCATATCTCTCACTTTAAATGAAAAGCTAGAAATGATTAGGCTTAGTGAGGGAGACATATCAAAAGCCAAGACAGGCTGAAAGCTAGGCCTCTTCTACCAAATGGCAAGCTAAGTTGTCAATGCAAAGGAAAGTTCTTGAAGGAAATTAAAAGAAATGTGATATAGTTTTAATATATGTCACTGCCAAATCTCATGTTGAATTGCAATCCCAATATTGGAGGTAGGGCCTGGTGGTAGGTGTTTGGGTCATGGGGGTGGATTCCTCATGGGTAGATGCTATGCCTCTCACAGTGAATGAGTTCTTGTGAGATCTGGTCATTTCGAAGTGTATGGGAACTCCCCACTCTTGCTCCTGCACTCACCGTGTGACATATGAGCTCCTGCTTCCCATTTTGCCATGAGTATAATCTCCCTGAGGCCTCTCCAGAAGACAAGCAAGTGCCAGTGCCATGCTTGTACAGCCTGCCAAACCACAAGACAATCAAATCTCTTTTCTTCGTAAATTACCTAATCTCAAGTATTTCCTTAGAGCAGTGCAAGAATGGCCTAATACAGAAAATTAGTACCAAGAGTGGGGCATTTTATAAAGATACCTGAAGATGTGGAAGCAGCTTTGGAACTGGGTAATAGGCAGAGGTTGGAAGAGTTTGGAGGGCTCAGAAGAGGACAGAAAGATGAAGGAAAGTTTGCAACTTCTTAGAGACTGCTTAAATGGTTTTGACTAAAATGGTAATAGTTATATGGACAGTGAAGTTCACTCTGATGAGGCCTCAGATGGAAATGAAGAGCTTATTGGGAACTGAAGCAAAGGTCATGCATATTAGGCCTCAGCAAAGAACTTGGCTGCATTCTATTAATGCCCTAGGGATCTGTGAAATTTTGAACTTCAGAGTCATGACTTAGGGGATATAGTGGAAGAAATTTCAAAGCAGCAAAGCATTCAAATGTGGCCTGGCTGCTTCCTACACTCAGATCCAGGAGCAAAGAAATGACATAGAGTTGGAATTTATGTTTAAACAGGAAGCAGATGTAAAAGTTTGGAAAATGTTCAGCCTATCCTTGTTACAAAGAAAGAAAAAACTTTTTGGGAGAGGTATTCAAGCAGGTTGTGGAGCAACTACTTGCTAAAGGTATTTGCGTAACTGAAAGGGAGCCAAGTACTAATATCCAAGACAATGGGAAAAAGACCTCAGAGGTCTGTTTCAGATTTCAGAGATTTTCACAGCAGCCCCTCTTATCACAGGCTTAGAGGCCTAGGGGGAAGAATGGATTTGTGGGCCAGGCCCGGTGTCCTGATGCCTTGCACAATCTCAGGTCACTGTTTTCCACATCCAGGCCACTCCACCCCCAGCTGTGACTCAAAGGGGCCTAGGTGCAGCTTGGACTGCCACTTTGGAGAATGCAAGCCTTTGTGGCTTCCAAGTAAGCTTAAGCCTGTGGGCATACAGAACACAAGAATGAAGGACACGTGGCAGCCTCCACCTGGATTTCAGCAGCTGTATGAGAAAGCCTGAGTACCTAGGCAGAAGTCTGTTGCAGGGGTGGAGCCCCTACAGAGGACCTCTACTAGGGCAGTCCAGAGGGGAAATGTGGGGTCTGAGGCCCCACATAGAGTCCCCATGAGGGCACTGCCTTGTGAAACTGTGAAAAGGGGACCACCATCCTTCAGACCCCAGAATGGTAGATCTGCCAGCAGCTTGCTCCCTGTGCAAAGAAAAGCTGCAGGCCCTCAACAACCTGTGATAACAGCCCTAGGGGCTGCTGAACCCTGCAAAGCCACAGGGGTGGAGCTAACTGAGGCCTTGGGAGCCCACCACTTGCAGCAACGTGCCCTGTATGTGAGACACGTGAGACACGGAGTCAAAGGAGAGCAGTTTGGAGCTTTAAGATTTAATGACTGCCCTGCTTCGTTTCAGAATGGCATGGGACCTGTAGACCCCTTCTTTTGGCTGATTTATCTATTTTGGAATGGGAATGTTTACCCAATGACTATACTCCCATCATATCTCAGAAGTAAATAACTTGGTTTTTATTTTACAGGCCAATAGGTGGAAGGTACTTCCCTTGTCTCAGATGAGACTTTGGATTTTGGAATTCATGCTGGAATGAGTTAAGACTTTAGGAGACTATTGGCAGGGGATGACTGCATTTTGCATTGTGAGAAGGACGTGAGATTTGGGGGTGTAGGGGTGGAATATTACAGTTTGAATATATGTCCTGGCCAAATCTCATGTTGAATTGTAATCCCCAGTGTTGACTGTGGGGCCTGGTGGGAGGTTTTTGGGTCATGGAGGGGTAGATCCCTCCTGGTTTGATGCTGTCCTGATGATAGTGGGTGAGTTCTTGCAAGGTGTAGTCATTTAAAAGTGTGTGGCACTTTCCCTCCTCTCTCTCCTGCACTCACTATGTGATGTGCAGGCTCCCACTTTACCTTCCACTATGAGCTCCATTAGGATTCCCCAGAAGCTGAGCTGATGCCAGAGTCATACCTGTACAACCTACAAAACTATGAGCCAATTAAACTGCTTTTTAAATAAGTTATGCAGTCTTAAATATTTTCTTATAGCAGTGTAAGAAGAGCCCAATACAAAAGTGAAACAGTTTTATTGTTAATGTGGAGAAATTTTAATAGTCCGCGTAGATCAACCCAACATTTCCTTAAGTCAAAGCCTAATGTAGAGCAAAGCCCTAACTCTCTTCGATTCTATGAAGGCTGAGAAAAGTTAGAAGCTGCAAAAGAATAAATTGAAGCTAGCAGAGGTTGTTTTGTGAGATGTAAGGAAAGGTGTATTCATAACATAAAAGTGCAAGATGAAGAAGCAAATGCTGATGTAGAATCTACAGCAAGTTATCCAGGAGATTCAGCCAAAGTAACTGACGAAAGTGGCTAACCAACAGATTTTCAATGTAGATGAAACTGCCTTCAATTGGAAAAAGACTCCATCTGGAACTTTCATAGCCAGAGAGTAGAAGTCAGTGCCTGGCTTCAAAACTTCAAAAGCCGGCTGATTCTCTTGTTACGGGTTAATGCAGCTGGTGACTTTGACCTGAAGCCAATGCTCATTTACTATTCTGAAAATCCTAGATTCCTTAAGAATTATGCTTACTCTTTCTGCGTTCTAAAATTGAACAACAAAGCCAGGATGACAGCACATCTGTTTATAACATCGTTTACTGAATATTTTAAGCCTACTCTTGAGACCAACTGCTCAGGGAAAAAGATTCCTTTGAAAATATTACTGCTCATTGGCAATGTACCTGTTTACTCAAAAGCTCTGATGGAGTTGTAAAAGAAGATTAAGGTTGTTTTCATGCTTGCTAATACAATATCAATTCTGTAGCCCAAGGATCAAGGAGTAATTTTGTCCTTTAAGTCTTACTATTTAAGTAATTCATTTTGTAAGGCTACAGCTGCCATGGATAGTGACTGCTCTGATCGATCTGGGCAAAGTTGGTTGAGAACCTTCTGGAAAGGATTCATCATTCTTGATACTATTAAGAACACTCATGACACATGAGAGAATGCCAAAATATCAACATTAATAGAGGTTTGGAAAATGTTGATTCCAACCAGCATGGATGATTTTGAGGGGTTCAAGACTTAAATGGAGGAAGTAACTGAAGATGTGGTAGAAATAGCAAGAAATTTAGAAATAGGAATGGATCCTGAAGATGCAACTGAATTACTACAATCTCATGATCAAACTTGAAAGGATGAGGTGTTGCTTCTCATGGATGAACAAAGAAAGTGGTTTTTTGAGATGGAATCTACTTTTAGTTTAGATGATGTGAACATTTTTGAAATGACAACTGAATTGGTCTGTTCTCACATTGCTATAAAGAAATACTGGAGACTGGGTAATTTATATAAAAAAGGTTTAATTGGCTTATGGTTCTGAAGGCTGTACAGGAAGCATACCAAAGGCATCTGCTTCTGGGGAGACCTCAGGAAGCTTACCATCATGGTGAAAGGTGAATGGGGAGCAGGCATCTCACATGGCAGGAGCAGGAGCCAGAGTAGAGGGAGGTACCATACACTTTTAACCAACCAGATCTCATGAGAACTCACTCACCATTTAAGACAGCTAAACCATTTATATGGAGAATCCACCCCCAAGACACAATCACCTCCCACCAGGCCTCACTTCCAACATTGGGCATTACAACTCCACATGAGATTAAGGTGACAACACATACCCAAACTGTATCATTCTGCCCCTGGCCACACCTCACAAATCTCATGTTCTTCTCACATTTTAAAATCCCTTCCTAACAGTCCCCCCAAATCTTAACTCATTTTAGCATTAACTCAAAAGTCCAAAGTCTGATGTCTCATTGGAGACAAGGCAAATCTTTTCCACCTATGAGCCTGTAAAATAAATAAATAAATAAATAAATAAATAAATAAATAAATAAGTGAGTTACTTCCAAGATACAATGGGGTTATGGGCATTGGGTAAACATTCCTGTTCCACAAGGAAGAAATCAGCCAAAAGAAATACGCTATAGGCCCCACACAAGTTCAAAACCCAGCAGGGCAGTCATTTAATGGTAAAGTTCAAAAATAATCTCCTTTGATGCCATGTCCAACATCCAGGGCACACTGCTGTGAGGGTTGGGCTCCCAAGGTCTTGGGCAGCTCCACCCATGTGGCTTTGCAGGGTTCAGCCCCTGCACTACTTTCATGAGCTGTCATTGAGTCCCTGTGGCTTTTCCAGGTACAGGGTACAAGCTGCCAGTGATTGTACCATTCTGAGGTCCAGAGGATGGTGGCCCTATTCTCAAAGCTCCACTAGGCAGTGACCCAGTGGGTACTCTGTGTGGGGCTTCCAACCTCACATTTCCCCTTTGCACTGCCATAGTAGAGGTCCTTTGTGAGGGCTCTGCGCCTGCAGCAGGTTTCTGCTTGGGCACCCAGGCTTTTTCACACATCCTCTGAAATCTAAGTGGATGCTCCCAAGCTTCAACTCTTGCACTCTGTGCACCCACAGGCTTAACACCACATGGACGTCACCAAGGCTTATGGCTTACACCCTCTGGAGCTGCAACCTGAAGTGTACCTGGGCCCGTTTGAGTGGAGGCTAGAGCCCCAGTGGCTAGGATGCAGGTAGCAGTGTCTCCAGGCTGCACCCCTGGGCCTGGCCCAGAAAACCATTCTTCCTTCCTAGACTTCTAGGCCTGTGATGGGAGGAGCTACTGTGACGGTTTCTGAAATACCTTTCAAGTATTTTCCCCATTGTCTTGGCTATCAGCACTTGGCTTCTTTTTAGTTACTCAAATCTTTCTAGCAAATGGTTGCTCTGCAGCTTGCTTGGATTCCTCTCCCCAAAAAAGCTTTTTTTTCTCTGCCATGTGGCCAGGCTTCACATTTTCCAAACTGTCAGGCTCTGCTTCTCTTTTAACGATAAACTTGAACTTCAAGTCATTTCTTTGCTCCTTTATCAGATTTAGGCTGTTAGAAGTAGCCAGAACACCTCTTGAGCACTTTCTGCTTAGAAATTTCTTCCACCAGATACCCTAAGTCATCACTCTGAAATTCATACTTCCACAGATCCCCAGGGCATGTACATAATGCAGCCAAGTTCTTAGCTAAGGCATAACAAAAGTGATCTTTACTCCAGTTCCCAATAAGTTCATTTCCATCTGAAACCTTGGCAGCCTGAAGTTCACTGTCCATATCACTATCAACATTTTAGTCACAAGCATTTAGCCAGTCTCTAAGAAGTTCCAAACTTTCCCTCATCTTCCTGTCTTCTTACGCACCCTCCATACTATTCCAACCTCTGTCTGTTACCCAGTTCCAAAGCTGGTTCCACATTTTCTATTTTCTTTGTAGCAATGCCTCTCTATTCAGTACCAATTTTTCTGTATTAGTCCATTCCCTCATTGCTCTAAAGAAATGCCTGAGACTGGGCAATTTATAAAGAAAGGTTTAGTTGGCTCAGGGTTCTGAAGGCTGTGGAGGAAGCGTAACACAGGCATCTGCTTCTGCGGAGGTGGCATCTCACATGGTGGGAGCAGGAGCAAGGCAGAGGGGGGTGCCACATACTTTTAAACAACCAGATCTCATGAGAACTCACTATTGGCCGAGTGTGGTGGCTCACGCCTGTAATCCCAGCAATTTAGGAGGCCGAGGCAGGTGGACCACAAGGTCAGGAGTTTGAGATCAGCCTGGCCAATATGGTGAAACCCCATCTCTACTAAAAATACAAAAACTAGCCTGGCGTGGTGGTGGGTGCCTGAAGTCCCAGCTACTTGGGAGGCTGAGGTGGGAGAATTGCTTGAACACAGGAGGTGGAGGTTACAGTGAGTTGAGATCATGCCACTGCACTCCAGCCTGGGCTACAGAGCGAGACTCCATCTCAAAAAAAAAAAAAAAAGAAAAAAAAAGAACTCACTATTGCGAGGACAGCACCAAGAGGACGGTGCTAAACCATTCATGAGAAATTCACTCCCTTGATTGAGTCACCTTCTACCAGGCCCCACCTCCAACACTGGGCATTACAACTCAATATGAGATTAGGGTGGAGACATATATCCAAACTATACCAACAACAAAGGATTTAGAATATTACAGTAACTTAGTTGATAAAGTGGCAACATGATTTAAGAGGATCTACTCCAATTTTGAAATTTCTATATGGGTATAATGCTATCAAAGAGCACTGCATACTACAGGTAAATCTGTCATAAAAGGGAGAGAATCTATGTGGGAAAGTTCATTGTTACTTTATTTTAAGACATTTCCACAGCCATCGCAACCTTCAGCAACCACCACCATGATCAGTCAGCAGCCATCATCACTGAGGCAAGACCCTCCACCAGCGAAAAGACCACAACTCACTGAGAGCTCAGATGGTCATCAGCATTTTTGGCAAGAAAGTATTTTTAATTAAGATATGCACATTTTTTGACATAATACTATTGCACACTTAACAGACTACTGTGTAATGTTAACAAAATCTTCATATGCACTGAGAAACCAGAAAATTCATGGGACTCACTTTACATTACTGCTGTGTTTACTTTACTGCTGTGGTTTAGAATTGAACCTGCAGTAACCTCAAGGTATGCAATTAAGGTTCAGCTGAAACGCTCCCTTCTTCATTAAGCCTTACAGTCACTCCTCATTAAAAAAAAACTTTGCATTTGTATAACACTTCATTTATCCTTCTTATACTTTTCATGTGGTATTTTGGTTATTGGATCTTATAGCTGATAATTATGCTTGTGTAGGGGAGTGAAAATGACTTCCCTCCACCCTTCTAGGTTCTTTAGGTGGGCTACGAATGAAATTGACCAGAAACAGATTAACATGAGAAAAATATATTTAGTTATGTATTTATGCATGGAGTCCACAAGATATGGGACTCCCAGAAGGGTCAGAAGATTGGCACTTATTAGCACCCTGAGCTACCTAAAAGAATAAGTGCTTGAGACTTCTGAGGGGTGCTGGCAATACAAGTTATGAGAGGGTAACAGGAAGAATCATATGGAAAATAAAGATGGTCTTATTATGCAGAGAAAACATCTCTCAAGTAATAAAAGTTGTCTAGGAGCATCCTTCAGAAGAAAAAGTGATGGTCTGTCTGGGGGTAGTGTCAAAGAGTTAACCTTTCAGGGTTGATAAAATTACCAGGGAGATGATTTATGATAATACAGATCCATTTTTAGGCAGATAAGGAAGTTCAAAGAAAGCCCCTCCCTGCATTAACTAAATATTCCTCAAGTGCCTTCGATCTAAAGTAATCAGCATACCAAAGTTGCATATTTTGGGGTGGCATTTCCTGAACTCCTTCATTTGCCGCAGTTACATTATCTTTCAACACTACTGAGAGCCCCTTGAGGGCAAGGATGATAATCCGATTTTTCTTTGTATCCTTAGCACCTAATTTAAGGTCTCACATGTTAGATGTTTATTAATGAAGAGAAAAATAGGAAATCATGATCATGTTAAAGGCTCCAAAGACTCTGACACTTAAACATGACCCATGAAAATCCCACTTATTCACTTTTCACAGAAGAAGATACTGAGACTCAGATAAGTTGGATTTTCATGGGTCATGCTTAAGTGTCAGAGTGTTTGGTGCCAGTCTGTCTGATCCAGTCCTCTGTGACTTTTCTATGGCAGCACTGGTCTATGATTTCATTGTCTTCCCTTGAAGTCAAAGTCAAATTCCTCTTGCATTTGTCTATATTCCTCCTGTAGTTCTTTTCACCTTCCTTTTCAATTATTTAATTCCATAAGTAATACATACATTCTCCTCGTAAATATATATTTTATACATGTATGTGTATGTATATGTGTGTGTGTGTGTGTGTGTGTATATATATATATATGTATACATATATATACCCACCACCCTCAATGCCATTCTCAAAGGGGTAACAATTGCTACAGATTTGGTTTGGCATTAATCTTTCTAGAACATTTGTTATGTACTGATATACTCAGAAAATGTGGTATTATGTGGGGCTTGGATTAACTTCTTTTACCAGACTGCATGCCTCTTGGTAACAGCAGCCATTTTTGTATAACTGGAGCCTAGCACAAAACCTGGGACAAGTGCCTACTAGACTGAGATGAATGAAAGAAATGTCCTCGAATCATAGAATTCCAATCAGCCTCTCTGCAAACTTTCTTTTATTAGCCTTCCTTATAAACACATGGATCTACTTACAACTTTGTGCAAACCAGAAACTGGAGCCCTCCTCTCTACCACTAGTTTCTTTACCTATTTATCTCTTTTAACTTTCTTCCTTTTTCTCTCTCTTTTTCATTCTCCTATACCTAATCCTTAGCTCTGCTAACCCACCTCTGCATACTCCACTTACTTTTAGGGGTGGGAGCTAGGAGTTGCTGAAAGGAATCAACTGACCCTTAACCAAAATATCCATGCATTTGACAGATATCCAGAAATTTGCCTGATATCGCAACAATACAAGTGGTCCTATATTTGTATTACCCTAACATTTCAAGACACATTTGGATAATTTTTATTCCACATGCTAAGTTGTCCCACCTCTACTCACATTCTACAAGGGTCATTTATCCATTTATTGTCTCAGTCACAGGGATATGATTTATAAAAACAATGAGACACATGATTAGATAACACTATATTAGTAAAAATAGTGGCAATAATTACACTCCAGGTGAGACAAATCTAAGAAAGAATTTTCCCTTCCCATATATGTTGTTTATAGAATAAGGAGTTTACCTGACTGAGTAACAAGGAAAATAGACAACTAAAATTACAGAGATGTACTTTCCATTCAAGTTGTCCAAGAGCTTCATAAATCTGGAGTTACCCAATATCCTAGAGCCGAACAAGGCAAACTACAGCCCACAGGCCAAATCCACCACACTGCCTAGTTTTGTAAATAAAATTGTGTTGGAAGATCAAACACCCATTTCTTCCCACTATTGTCTATGGTTGCTTTCTTGCTCCAGTTGGAGGCAGGGTTGCATAGAAGATGCAGAGATGGCCTTATGGCTTGTAAAGCTTAAACTATTTGCTCTCTGGCCTTTTACAGATACTGTTTGCTGACCCCTGCCCTATAGATAGAGCAGCATGCAATGATAGTCAAGTAACGTTTCAAGAATGCAGATCAGAGGACTCCCTTCTGTCTAGCATAATTGAGCGATACCAGGTGCTTCATCCAGCTGGTTTCCTTATCTCTTTCTTCTAATTCATCATCCATATCACTGTCAGAATAATCTTAGAAAAATAGTGGTTAGGATTATTTCTTCTTGCCAAAACCCCTCTGATAACTTTCAAGACCTTTTATTATCACATTTCTATCCAAACTGATCCCTCTGATTCCCCTACACAATTTCCCTGATTCAGGAAAGTTAGTAATCCAAACATATCTTACATTTGCTCAAGCTGCTTTTCCTCTCAGAATGTCCATCTTGCACTCTATATGATATACCTAAATCTTACCCATTCTCTAAGATTCAGCTCCAGGATCCCACTTCTGTATGCCTCCACTTGGCAGCCCAGCCTACAGAAATCTCTCGATCCTGAAGATCATTCCTACAACATGTGGCTTCTATCGGCCTTACAGATTTCAATCAGTAGTTTTTCGTAGGTTGTTTCTCCCATTCTCCTTTACATTTATTTATTTATTTATTTATTTATTTATTTATTTATTTATTTATTGTTGAGACGGAGTCTTGCTCTGTAGCCCAGGCTGAAGTGCAGTGGCCACCATCTCCACTCACTGCAAGCTCCGCCTCCTGGGTTCACGCCATTCTCCTGCCTCAGCCTCCCGAGTAGCTGGGACTACAGGTGCCCACCACCGTGCCCAGCTAATTTTTGTATTTTTAGTATAGACGGGGTTTCACCGTGTTAGCCAGGATGGTCTTGATCTCCTGACCTCGTGATCCACCCGCCTTGGCCTCCCAAAGTGCTGGGATTACAGGCGTGAGCCACCGCGCCCGGCCGACATTTATGTTTTAACTTGATACAAAATGTATCATACTATCTACTCTGCTATCATTGTTCTAGAGAAATGAAAGAAAGTGTCTATTTTCACTTAGATATATTTTAGTAAACAATAACTAGGTAGTATTTTTCTAGAAGATAACACATTGTGAGGAAAAGAGTCTTTCTTGTCAGCTTAGCCACTTCCTCCTGCCACTATAAAAATTGATTTCCCAAGTGCATACTTAAGTCAGATTTGCTAAGAAGAAAAATCTCACTTTAATGAGAAGGAGAAAGAATGAAGCATGGGCATTAACGTTTCCAGAACTAAATTTATAGTAAGGAACATCAAACCAGTTGAGTACATTTTAAGGAAATAATGATTTTCTAGGTCTAAATATGACCAGAATATCTTGAAAAACAAATTGCTACCTAAATGTGCTGTCAGTAAGATTCTATTTTTTCCTGACTTCCACAGTACTGTTTCTTAAGCCCAAGTTGAATATTTCACTATGGCAACATGAAGTCAATTGCCCATTATCAGATTGAAATGGAAAAACTTAACATATATATGGTACAGTAAGAGTAAGCAAAGTTATCACTGTAAGTGCTCAACAGCAAGATCTTTTGTTGACTCTTTGCTGTTTCTAGTGCCTATGAAAAAATAACTTCTCAACTCAAGGCTAGTCCTGCCTTTCCATCACCTCTGCTATCTCATTAACTATAGGCCATCTTAACTCTGACCTTCCTTTAGCACATATCTCACGTATTGTATGCTAAAAATGTATTTGTTGGTTATCTGAAATTTAAATTTAACTGGAGGATCCTTATTTTACCTGACAAACATACCCTAAACTGATCACCTTGGCCAGGTCCCCATTGCTGAAAGTGGGAAACATGGTGAGTGGCTCTTTCCCTTTAGCCACGTCCCTAGCCAGAAATCTGGAAGACATACTAGGGACTTGAAGACATTCTGCCCATCACTAAGTCACCTCCATTCCATGTACTTGATATGACTAAACCATTAGCCCCTCTCTGTTTTCAATGCCACCACCCTAGGTTCAGCCCTTATCAACTTCTGCCTGGATCTTACAGTAGCTTCCTGAGTGGTCTTCATGCTTCTCATCTTGTCTCCTTTGCACTCATCTCTGTTTCCTGCCTGACTCTCCAGGCTTTTCTCTCACCATGCCTTCTCCACCTCCCTTGCGAATTGTTTTCTAGCCATTTCTAGTCTGAGCATGCCACCTTATTTATTATCTCTGCCTTGATTCCAGTGGCATAAAATAAACATCCCCTTCACACCTGCCTGAAACTACACTCCCATTTGGCTTCACCGGATCCCTTACCTTTTAAAATTCAACTTAAGGGTCTCTACCAGTAAAATCTGTTTCTTGTTACTCTCCACTCCCTCAGCCAATGGATGAGGCTTCAACATGCATCTTTTCTTATACACTGACATTTCTAAGAACACATTGAGTTGGCTTAGTGTTAATTTGTCAGAAGAAACCACAGTGCTAGAAGGCTTTACGTCAGCACATGCTGTTTTGTCCATGTAACAAAGTTATCACTGCCAAAGTCAGAGTGTCCTCGGTATGGTTTGGCTCTGTGTGGGGACCCAAATCTCATCCCTAACTGTAATCCCCACGTTTCAAGGGAGGGAGGTGATTGGATCACGGGGGCAGTTCTCGTAATAGTGAGTGAGTTCTCAGGAGACCTAATGGTTTTATAAGTGAGAATTGCTCCTTCACATGCTCACACTCTTTCCTGTCTTGTTGTGTAGAAGGTTCTTGCTTCCCCTTCTGCCATGATTGTAAGACTCCTGAGGCTTCCCCAGCCATGTGGAACTGTGAGTCAATTAAACCTCCTTCATTTATACGTTACCCAGTCTCAGATATTATTTATAGCAGTGTGAAAATGGACTAGTACCGTCCTTTTGCAAGAACTTGGTTCAGGAGCCAGGAAATAGCTTTGGGACAAAGGGCCAGACTAATTCAGCAGGAGAGATGGGATGGGAAATTAGGGGAAAGTTTCCATCACTGACATTTACTTTGGTTTTTGTTTTGTTTTATAGTTCTTTGCTAATTAATTAATGACTGTATATGTATTTATTTACATTTGGGAACTCAGAACACCATTTGTGGAAAACTGATAAATCATGAAATTTGAGGTAGATACCAAACTCGTGTTAATAAATTAGCTGCTGGGTGAAGAGTGTGGAAGAGAAATCCATCTTCTTTTAGGGTATATGGTTATAAAAATTCTATAGACAGTTATATAAGGAAGAAGTAGGCCAATTTACAGAAGTCAAAGGCAAGTCAGCCCTAAGAATTTAAAAGCAGCTGCCTTTAGTTGGAAGCATGGCTTGCTTAAAAAAAAAAAAAAAAAAAAAAAAAGTCCTTGATGAAAACCGATTTATTTTGTATGTCCTGGACTAAGCACCTTTAAATGCTGGCTTCCCCAGACAACCTTTTAAGAATTAGGTTATAGGTGTATCCTCTATTCCCCATAATAAGGCTTGAGAAACATCTAAAAAGGTGGTTCTCCACCCAGGCTGCACATTAAAATCACAAAGGGAACGTTTGAAACATACTGATTTCCTGGAAACCACCCCAGATATTCTAATTTAATTGGTCTGGGTGAGACCACAGGAATTGGCGTTTTTCAGCCCACCCTCTACCCCTGGTGACCCTTATGAGCAGTCAGGTGGCGATCTACTGATAGAATCCCTTAATTGACCTCTCCTATTGAGGCTTCACTGTTTACTTTATAAAGTGTACCCATCCCAATAAAAATCAGACTGGGACCCAAATGCCGAGCTGGACTGGTTGGATGTAGGAGCAACATGTGCTTCCGCTGCTGCTCCGCTTCAGTCAAGTCCCCAGGTACTGAGATCCTATAGCCCATGACCCAGATAGCTGATTGTTCTATGCTACACAGATATAGAACACACTGCTAATTCAACATCAGTCTTGTAAGGGGAACTCAGAGAGAATGGTTTCCTGTAAGATGTGACCTTACACTTGACACTAAAGGTGTTGGCTCTTTTTAATCCTGAGAAGGATGCTTTTAGGAACAAATAGATTTGGAATCCAACCATACTGCTCTTATTCAAAAATTTAATACATTTCCAAAGGATAAATGGATTCCAGAGTATTAAATAATTACACTTCTATTTATTCCATTTCTAACCATGACTATGGGATTTACAGTAATATTAATTGCTGCCAACAAAATCATATCTATGTACATGTTTTCCCCTTCACCTTTTGTCAGCGGTGATAAGAACAAGTTCAAGTGAATGATTCTCTCAGCGTATCATTTGACATTACAAAGTGGCAGTCTGAGACATGAATCTGATCTCTTGGGATTTAACACCCAGTAAACTGAAAGCCCCGGGCCATGTAATATAGGAATATAGTGGAAAAAAAAGTCTTCATTTTTAGTGAAAATTATGAAGGAATTATGAGAGTTACTACTGATATTAAAACATTGCATGTGGGATGTAGTACATTTTATGATTTATAAATTGACCTATAAATAGCAGTAGGAAAAACAGTCTTACAGAAGACATAAAACTGATAAATAAAAGCATCGGTATTTCCCAAACATAGGAGCTTCTTTTTATAGTTGCAGGAGATGATTCTTTCATTAACATTCCAATTCTTGTTGATTTTTTGCATAGTTTGGCATATCCAGGCCCTATGTCCTACTGCGTTTTCCTGAAAATATGCTTCCTAAGAGTGGGAAAGAGTGAGCACACATTCAGTTGGCTCCTTCCCTTACTCTTGGGTCTCTAGATAAACAACAGAAATCTTCCACCCAAATGATAATTCTGTGGGCATCCCTTTAAATTCTGAAGCTCTTACCTAGTCCCATAATGGCTCCTTTCTTGCAACATGTGTGTGTATAGGGAGCTCAGGTGTTTAGAACATTTTTACTCTGGGGCCAACATCAGCAATTCCCTATTACTCCCCCTCCTGTTGATAAATGGGCTTATCTCTGTGGACAGCAATTCAGGGCATCAGCATCCTATGGAATTGCTATAGGAAGCTACATTGGAGTGTGGAGGGAGGACATGGATGTCCGGGTAGAAAGACTTTCTTTAGTTAAAGGTGGTCCCAGTAGGCATTTTTAAGGTTATTGCTAGTTACAGAACTAGCAATAGGTTATGGCTAGTAACAAAAATATATATTTGCTTATGTGTGTATATCTTGGTTTCTTTTATGTCTTTGTACTGTATATTTTTGTGTATACACACATACACACATATATATGTTTGTGGATACACACACACACACACACACACACATATATATATACATAGAGTGACGATCCCTTCATAACACAACATAGGGTAGAGTTTTGTACGTATGCTGTTGCTTTAATTGCAGAGAAGAAATACTGCTAATGTCAGCCTGCATGATCTGCACCTAGGTGTTTTCTGGTAGGCAGGGAGCAGAATTGAGGCACTGGGGTGGAAGCCTTTTCCTCATTTTTAGCATCTTAAGTGTGGTGACCACATTCAGAAGGGTAGTACTTGGCACTGCCAGGAGAGGAAAATTAGGATTCATCTGCTTCTCTTACCAGCCACTGTGAGAATGCTGAATTTTACATTTGGTCAATTAGACTTGTTAATATAATTCTGTCTGAAGTACTCAAAAGATATGTGCTCAAGGTAAAATCACCATCTGGGTTAGCATAATAGGTATTCCTAAATATCACGCCTACTAAACAGAGCATGATCTGGTCTTTCTGAGGGAGAACCAGAAACAGGAATTTCTCATGAGATGATGGTGGTTGTTTCTATATAATTTCTTGAAAATAATCTAACCTTCAAACACCACCTAAACACACCTACAAATGCTTACAAATGTATAGGTTCTTTCACCATAGGTCCGTGGAATTACTACTTAATTCATCAGGCTCTGCAGATTTTCCCTTCAAGATATGTTAAGTCCTATTTTTTTTCCATTTCATGCTTTGTACTACTACAATAACCTTTTATTTTATTAAAATGTAATTTAACATAACTATAACTTTATAGGACAAGTTGTTAGGACTAGTTACAGAAGAAGAATCAAACATGAATTTTTAAAATACAAGAATGCTTGGCTCGTTTTGGATTAAAAACTGCATCTCCTGAGCTTGTTGACATTGCTGGAAAATTTCCTCTTTCATTCATTAGCATAACTCTCTGAGACGAATTTCTGTACTTTTTTTGATATGTTTACTTTTGAATTGTGTTAAAATATACATAACTTAAAATTTACCATTGTAACCATTTTGAAGTGTACAGTTCAGTGCTATTACTGCTGTGCAGCCATCACCACAATCTATCTTCACAACTTATTTTATCTTGTAAAACTGAAATTTTGTACTCATTAAACAACAGCTATGCGTTCCTCCCTCTCCCAGCCCCTGGCTACTATCACTCTACTTTCTGTCTCTCATGAATTTGACTACTCTAAGTGCCTTATATAAGTGGAATCTTAGGGTATTTATCCCATTGTGACCATCTTATTTCATTTAACGTAACATCTTCACAGTTCATCTATGTTGTAACATGTCAGAATTCTCTTGTCTTAATAACAATCCACTGTATGCATATCTCACATTTTATTTATTCATTTATCTATTGATGGGCATTTGGGTTGCTTCTACCTTTTGGTTAATGTGAATAATCCTGCTATGAGCATGGGTACGTACGTATTTGTTCAAGTTCGTGTTTTCATTTCTTTTGGGGCTATACCCAAAAGTAGAATTGCTGGATCCTATAGTAATTCTATATTCAATTTTTTGAGGAACTATCATACTGTTTTACACAGCAGTTGCACAGTTTTACATTCCCACCAGCAGCGCATAAGGGTTCTATTCTCTTCAATCTTCACTAATACTTGTTATGTTCTGTTTTTCTTATGGTAGCCGTTCTAATGGGTATGAAGTGGTGCCTTATTGTGGTTTTGACTTGTATTTTCCTGAAAATGAGAGATGTTGGACAGCTTTTCATGTGCTTATTGGCCATTTGTATATCTCCATTAAAGAAATGTCTATTCGAGTTCTCTGCCTATTTTTGAAATGAATTGTATTTTGTTTGGTTACAAGAGTTCTCCATATATTCTTGATATTAACCTATTAATATATAATTTGCAAATATTTTCTCCATTTCACACACTGTCTTTTCACTCCGTTGATAGTATCTTTTGGTGAACAACTACAATAGCCTTTTAATGTGCCCTACTAAACCCAGTCGTTGCTGCTCTCCCTTCTTTCCCCCTTTCTCCACTCTGCCTCGCGGTACTCCCCACTCCCTACCCCTATTCTCTCCCTACCCACTCCCTACCACCTTCTTTCTCCTTTCTCTACCCACCCTCCCTACCCCCTTGTGTCCCTCCTCTCTACCCACCCCACTTCCCCAAATGTGTAGAGTCATCCTCTACAAATTCCTTCTCTTCTCTTAAGGCTTGCTTCCTCCGTAGTCTTTCCTCTTGATTTGAAGGCTTGAAGTAGCCATAATAATAGGTGTTGGTATCAATCCACGAGTACCATATTTGTATAGCTGTCAACTTTTTTTTTTTTTTTCTGGGAAGAGGCAGAAGCCCTGTTGGGCTGCTGGGTAAATCCATTGAGTAAAACAAGGCTATAATAGATTGGCTCCCAACACTGCATGTACTCCAGGTCTTTATGCAGTACTTCCCTAGTGTAATATTTATTTTGCTACCACAGAGGATCTAAGAAGGTGGTGCAAGGAAACCTGAAGGCTCTCCATACTCTGGCTGTTGTGGAACTGTCTTTGAGTATAATATAATGGAAGAAACCTTGAAAGTGTAGTATGCCCGGGAGCTCCACTGAATTTTCCCCAGAGACAAATATGTAGAGAAGTGTGCTGAGTTATTACTTCTCATACAAATTGGCTAATTTAGACCACATGCCAAGTAAGAAAACTGAAGTGGAAATTGTTCTCACTATGAAATTATGTGAGTGTTAATACAAGAGGCAAGAGAACTACTTTGGGGACACAATACATATAAGGAGAATGTTAAGGATCTCCCAGAAAGCACAGCAACCAATAAACATATGTATCATTCATTCTGATAGTACTTTTTTATTTTTTAGACAGAGTTTTTTGCTCTTGTTGCCCAGGCAAGAGTGCAGTGGCACAATCTCGGCTCACTACAACCTCTGCTTCCCAGGTTCAAGCGATTCTCCCACCTCAGGCCCCTAAGTAGCTGGCATTACAGGGGCTTGCCACCATGCCTGGCTAATTTTTTTTTTCTTTTTTTTTTTTTTTTTGTAGAGATGGGGTTTCATCATGTTGGCCAGGCTGGTCTTGAACTCCTGACCTCAGGTGATCCACCCGCCTCAGCCTCCCAAAGTGCTGGTATTATAGGCATGAGCCACCGCGCCCGACCAATAACTTTCTTATAAAATACACACACACACACACACACACACACACACACACTCTTTTAATAAAAGGGCAAATAGAAAAGCACACAGAGGTGCCTTATGAATAAATTATTATCCACTTGTCCAGGTCTTTTGCTGTCACATTTATCGTGCACAGATTTTATAAAGTGGACAGTTTTTCACTCCAGAATGAGTTTTATTTTATTTTCCTGAATTATTAATTATACACTTTATTAGCCATATATCAACATCACGGACACATTTTTCACTAAAAGGAGAGTGGCTCTGCTGTGAAAGGAAAGCAGCTGTGGTCTCCTGGCAACAATTCCATTCCTCCCCTTTTGCCTCGGGAAGGTGCTCCATTTTCCTGCCATGATTTCTCACAAAGGGGACTGAATTTCTCCCACTTCCTTTTCAACAGAAATTGAGAAAACTCCCGCACGCAACAAAATGAGGCTGGGCATCTAGGGATTTGAAATACTGACTTTCCAGCAGGTGCTCATTTACCAGCAAGTGCCAGGCCTTGGCCTATGAGCCGGAGCATGCCTACTTTTGTATTCACTAACATTGTTTTCTTAGCACCTCTGGGAAAATCTCTTTCTGAAAATAACTTTTTGTATAACATGAAATATTTCTAGAAAGGCAAAATGTGTAAAGATTTGTTCTTTTATTCCCTCAAAAATGCTTTGCTTTTCCCGTGTTTTCCATCTTTTTTTCTTAATGACTTCATCTTGCTTGCTCTTTAATGAACGGATCATGCCATCATCAGGGATGGGAGTTTTATTTCACATGATCTGAGGTATGTACTCTTCCAAATGATCCTCATGTCATTGTAGTCATGGGAGTTGCAACTGCATTTTAGAATTAGTTTTTGGCAAGTGTGCCTGTAAGGTCTCAGTTGTATTTTCAAAAGCAAGGAAAAGTACCAAAAATCACATTTAGGACACTATGTTCAATGCTCCAGGAAAGGTCTTTTACTATCCTCTTACCAAGTTGGTTTCTGTTTTGTTTTGTTTTGTTTTGAGACGGAGTTTCCCTCTTGTTGCCCAGGCTGGAGTACAACAGCGTGATCTCGGCTCACTGCAAACTCTGCCTCCCGGGTTCAAGCGATTCTCCTGCCTCAGCCTCCCGAGTAGCTGGGATTACAGACATGCACCACCACGCCCGGCTAATTTTGTATTTTTAGTAGAGATAGGGTTACTCCATGTTGGTCAGGCTGGTCTTGAACTCCCGACCTCAGGTGATCCACCGACCTTGGCCTCCCAAAGTGCTGGGATTACAGGCGTGAGCCACTGCGCCCACCCCTTACCAAGTTCTTAAAACTAATTTATGGAACAGATGTAATAACTAGTGGGTACTTCTCTCCTAATGACCAAAGAAATCTAGACCTGTTAGATACAAAATAATTTGCCTGAATTGTAAATGTAAAAACGTCCCTTTTAGATCCTTTTTGCTCAGGAGTGCTGAACATACTTCATCTGTAGGCCGTGAAAAGAAATCAAGCATGGAATTTCATGTTACTCACAAAGACAGGCACTACAGAGTCAAAATTAGAGTCAAAATCGGGGAGTCAAAATTGGTGGGTTATTGTGCAGATCCATGAGGGGCTCATAAAGAGTCTGAACTCAAATATTAATGAAGATTGCTTCCGGGTACGTGATTAGGGATTTCTTTTCCTTTCATTTTTCTATCTTTCCTAAATTGTCCAAAATGAGCAAGTATTGTTTTCAGAGTTCTCTTAATCTGAGTTTCCGTCAGAATTCAGCGCCTGAGGCAAAGACTCACAGGAAGTGTTATTTTGGGAAGTGTGTGAGAGAACAGAAATGGAGGACTCGTGATAAGTTAAGGAAAGAAGAAAAGCCAATTCAATGATGCTTTCTTGATTTGGTTACCACTGTGGTCAAACAGGGACTCAGTCCCTGTGGACCCTCTGAGGAGACAATAGTGCACCACAGAGTTCTCTTCTAGAAAGATGGATGAAGGGAGCATTTACCTACCAGCTCCCACTGCCCCATTGGTTGCTGGTGCCTTATGTGGCTCTAGCTCCGTAGAAATTCTGTTTGAGCGCATGCAAGTGCCAAGCCAGTTTCCACAGATGCTCCTACTGTGACAGAATCTACAAGCCCTAGGGCCAATCCCAGAGATAGAAAAAGGGTACTGAAAAGAGGAGCTGTATGGTCACCCCAAACAAATCTGTTTGTCATGGCAAAGGTTGAGATGAAATGTAGGCTTACAAAATGTGAGGCACAGGAGGATCCAGTAAAACAATGCAAAGATGATAAAGATTATTTTGAACCAAAAATTTAAAATAGCATATTTTAGAGATATTTGATACATAAAGTGAAAACAACTTCTTTTTTGTTTGAGAAGTATACACCTGTATAATGTTTTTACTATTACTATAACAAATTAGCAACAATAATTTAGGTTGTTTTAGTGTCTTAATAGAAGCACCCATTTAACCTTGAAGACATTATGCTAAGTGAAATAAGCCAGACACTAAAGAACAAATACTGTAGGATTCCATTTTTATGAGGTATCTAGAGTAGTGAAATATGTAGACAGAAAGACACCATGGTTTAAGGGAGGGAAGAATGAGATGTTTTTGTTTAATAGTGATATGGTTTGGCTGTGATAGCACACAAAATCTCATCTTGAATTGTAATCCCCATCATCCCTAAGTGCCACGGGTGGGACCAAGTGGAGATAATTGCATCATGGGGGCCTTTTCCTCCATGCTGTTCTCATGATAGTGCAATAGTGAGTGAGTTCTCATGAGATTTGATGGTTTTATAAGCATCTGCCATTTCCCTTGCTTGCACTTACTCCATCCTACTGCCCTGTGAAGAAGGTACCTGCTTCCCTTTTGCCTGCGACCATGATTGTATAAGTTTCCTGAGGCCTCACCAGCAATGCAGAACTGTGAGTCAATTAAACATCTTTCCTTTATAAACTACCCAGTGATATGGTTTGGCTGTGTCCCCACACAAATCTCATCTTGAATTGTAGCTCCCATAATTCCCACATGTTGTGGGAGGGACAGGTAATTGAATCATGGGGGCAGGTATTTCCTGTGCTATTCTCATGATATTGAATAAGTCTCTTCAGATCTGATAGTTTTATAAAGGGGAGATGCCCTGCACATACTCTTGCCTGCCACCATGTAAAATGTGCCTTTGCTTCTCCTTTGCCTTTCGCCATGATTGTGAGGCCTCCCCAGCCATGCGGAACTGTGAGTCCATTAAACTTCTTTCCTTTATAAATTACCCAGTCTTAGGTATATCTTTATTAGCAAGTGGGGTGAGAACAGACTAATACACCCACCCAATCTTGGGTATTGTTTCATAGCAGTGTGAGAACAGACTAATACAAATGGGTACAGAGTTTCAGTTTGGGATGATGAGAAAGTTCTGGAGATAAATGGTGGTGATGGTTGCACAATATAAATGTACTTAGTGCCACTGAACTGTACTCTTACAAAATGGTTAAATGGTAAATATTATGTATATTTTACCACAATAAAAAAATAGCACCCATTTATGATGTCACAGGTCTTTCCATGAGAAGTCAGGGTACAACTTCGCTCAATTAGGTCCTCTGATTAGAATCTCATAAGGCCAAAATCAAGGTGTCAGCAGGCTTGTATTCCTTCCTGGGGACTCCAGGGATGAATCTGCTTCCAAGCTCATTTAGTTTGTTGGCTGAAATGAATTATTTGTGTTTGTAGGACTGTGGCCCTTTTTCATAGCTGGCTGTTAGCCAGTTGCTCCTAGAGATTATGTGTATCCCTTCACATGCATCCTATATGGGCCCCTCTATTAAAGGCAAGACTAGTTGCGTTCTTCCCATGCTTTGGATCTCCCCAAGTCCTTCTGCTAGTGCATTTCCGACTTAAGCCAGAGAACGTTCTCTTTTTATTGGCTCATATTATTATATTGGGCCCTAGATAATCTCCCTAAGACTTCATGATTGTAATTATATCAGATAAGTCTCTTTTGCCAGCTGTATTAATTTCATAGGGCAATCATAACAAAGTACTAAAAGCTAGGCAGCTTAAAACAACAAAAATATATTCTCTCTCATGATTCTGGAGGTCAGAAGTATGACATCAAGTTGGTATCGGGCCATGTCCTCTCTGATAGCTCTAGGATGGAGTCCTTCCTTGCCTTTTCTAGGTTCTGGTGTTTGCTGGCAATCCTTGGCATTCTTTGTCGTTTACTTGCATCACTCTGGTCATATGTCCATCTCCTCCCCTTGTGTCTGTGTCTGTGTCCAAGTTTCACTTTTTTTAAGGGTACCAGTCATCTTGGATTAGGGGTCACCTTGTTTTTACTTAATTACCTCTGTAAAGATCCAATTTCCAAAAAAGGTCACATTTCTGAGGTACTGGCAGTAAGGGCTTCAAAATATCTTTTTGGGGAACATGAGTCAACTCATAACACCAGGTAACAAAACACTTCTAGTATTTAGGGATAATGATGTGGACATCTTTTGTGGGGAAGGATACATTCTGCCTATCACACCTCTAAACTTTCTTTTGTGAACATCTGTTAGAATGATGGTCAGGCTCAGAGTGGTCACACTATTCTTGAAATTTGTTAGCACTTTGTAAATATTTACTTTTTAATCCAGAATGAATTTATAAGAGGGATCAACATTATCCTTGTATAGCTGAGTAACCCAAGACTCATAATTGTAAAAGCAGTTTAAAATTACATATAATTATTTAGGAAATTATTGGAGACAAGAGTTAACATTTTCTGATTATGGTTATCAGTGATTACCCTGCAGAACCTCTTGGTTATGGGCTATATTACATATATGCATACTGTAAAAACTCCACTTAAAGGGCCTTATTTAGTGCTGTATTTGAAATATGGGGGTAAATGGCAACCTGTTTTCTCACTTTCAGAACTCTCTTCTTTTCACATAAGGATCTCTTTGAATTAAGAATCAAATTTTCCTCCAGGCCTTCAACATCCATTCTTATTTCTTTCCTTTTTATTCTTTTTCATATATCCCTTCATTTTTTATATGCTTATTTTACAAACATTTACTGGCCTTCTCTCTGCCAGATATATTCTAGATATTAGGGAATACAAAGACAAATCAGGCCTGGTCTCTGGTCTCAAGTGGCTCACGGTATAGTTATCCCTCTCCAACCCATTCTCCGCACTGTTTTCCCAACTAGACCATCACCAATGAAAACCTGTTGTCTCCATCTTCCACCTTCTCCCAACCCTCAGTATAGTGCTAGACCTAGTATGAGCTTGGATTTTTCCCATCCCATTGAATTTAATAATTTCAGTTGCTAAATCTTTAGGGCGGTTCTATTTTGGGAACCTTTAAATCCATAGACACCTTACACTTGGCCCATTTTTTCAGTGCTAGTTGCTGCTTTGGCAACCAGCTGAAGGCCTCATAACAACTTACTTTAGCCATAGCATATACCTCTGCTTTCTGCCAAGGGACTTGCCACTGCTTCAGGAACCTGCTTAGCTATTCAGTTATATTGCAAATAGGATTACTAGATAAATATAGGGTACCCAGTTAGATTTGTATTTCAGATAAGAAACAATATTTTTAGTATATGTATTTTCCGAATATAGTATGAGACAAATTTATACTAAATAAATTTGTGGTTTATCTGAAATTCAAATTTAATTGAGTGTCTTCTATTTGTATTCTACAAATCTGGCAACCTTAATTGCAAAGCGGGAGATGTGAGTGACTTAACTAACACCCAGTAGGTGCAACTTCTGAGCAATGGAGGAAGGAATCCAGTGAATATACTCACCTCTGTTGTCCTTTGGGGACACAATTCTGAGACACATTGTTCATGGCTTCTAAGATCTTCCACAGAATTGAGTCTTGGTTTCCCACAGCTATGATTAGCTATTAACAAAGCCCTGATTTGTTTTATCAGCTTTCCGAGTTTAACTCTTCCCAGTCCCCCACTCTAGTCCCTTGGGATCTCTATCTCCATGCCAACCCTTACCTCCACCTCTGCTTCTGAAGGATACCCAAACTAAGCACCCTTTCTTCCATTATTACACTGAGGTTTCAGATACTATGTCTGGTTTAATTGCAGAGATAGATTGAAGTTCTAATTTTGATAGAGTAGCAGACTCATTTGAATAATAACCTTGCATGGTTCTTTTCTGGCATTTAAGCATGTCTAGGCATGTTTGGTGAGCCGAAGGGACAGGCCTAAGAGAAGTCAATGGGAAAAGTAATTCCAGGAATATTGACATCTACGGTTCAGACATGCTAGATAAAATGTTTTGGAAGAAGTTGATGATGGGTTTAATATAGTATATTGCATATACATTTTTACCTTTCCTTTCTCTAAAATTACATTAAAATGCCAGATATAAAATTTATAATTCACTATTTTTAAATAATCCAGAATAGCACTGAAAATAAGAATGACAGCTTTTAGGAGATCATATATTTTAAGTAATTTATAAAATATAGAAAAACAGAAGGTGTCATATTGATTAATGAACTGGAGCAAGGGAAAACTCAAAGCAGCCACAGGAAAGGGGTTCCATAAGGAAGCAGATATTTCTTCTCACTCCCACACTTGAAATCAATAGAGTAGATGCTGCTGTAGTAATACTAGTAATACAGGCTTCTTGAGAAACAGTTGGACTAGTGGGACACCTACCTTTCTGCCATCTATCTACCTATTAGGCCGGCTATGAGATGTTTTCCCCAATAAATACTATTGATACAGTTGTCTATCAAGTACATATTTAGGGGTGAGAAGGAAAGCTCTGGTATGACACCATCTAAAAACACAAAAATAATTGCAATTGGTTTGAAGAGCAAATCATTTTGTAAAGTATGCAATAACAGAGAAGAATCTATAACAGACCAACTGTATGATATTTGAGGTTGCTACGGTATTCCCCAGAAACATCTGAGGCCCAGAAGACACGAAGGGAAGAAGGAAGGGAAAAAGAAAGAGTAATCTGATATATTTACTTACATCCAAATCTAAATTTCTGCATTAAAAAAACCATAATTTATTGTAAGCAAAATTAAAAGACAACTTCAAGGTTGGAGAAAGCATGAAACACAGGAAACACAGGGTTAACATTGCTAATCTGCATATTGCCCCAATCAATTAGTTATAAAATGACAATACAACAGGAAAAAGCAGGCAAATGATATTATAGTAGAATTTTCACCACATCTGTTTTTCTTCCCTGTAAGAGAAAAATGCTTTACCACCCTGGTGAGCTCAGACATGGCCATATGATTTGGTTGGGTCAATGAAGTATGTCACAAGCAGACACTTTAAGATTTATGTTTTGATTTGTTGTGTTCTGTTTACCTTATTCTGCAGCAACCAGTGATATTCTGAATACTATCTGCTCCCAACCAACCCAGGATTAAAATACAATGTGAGAATTAAACTTTTGTTTTAAACCACTGAAGTGTGGGTGTTGTTGATACTGTCTAAGTCCATTTGGGCTGCTGTAACAAAAATACTATAGATTGGGTAATTTATAAACAGCAGAAATTTATTGCTCAATAATCTGGAGGCTGAGAAATCCAAGATCAAAACACAGATTTGGTGTCTGGTCAGGGCTCTGTTCCTCATAGACAGCACCTTTATGTGTCCTCACATGGCAGAAAGAACAAACAGGCTCTCTTGGGCCTCTTTTATAAGGGCACTAATCCTGTTCATGAGAGCTTCTGCCCTCATGACCTAATGACCTCACAGATACCCCACCTCCCAACACCACTGGACTGGGAATTAAGTTTCAATGCATGAATTTTTGGGGAACACAAACATTCAGACCATAGCAGATACCATGGCTTAGCCTAACCTATCCTGACTCATACTGAAATCCACAGTAGAATATGGGTGTGGTTGCACCCAAATCTACAAATATTTGGCATTGATTTAAAGGTTGTGCTCTGGGAAATGAGAGCTGTCAGAAGCTAGAAAGTTGGTGAGACATAGCAAGTAATAGAGAACATTTCAGTATAAAACTGTGATCTACAATAGCCTGAAAGGCGGATCATGCACGTAATGAACATGTTGTTTTAGGGTAAGAGGCTTAGAAACGGAATGTTAGTTCCAGGTATTGGCAACTCTATATCTAAATTTCTCAGATTATTACAAAAAGATATGAGCTTGATAAGATAATTAGCTGATTTTTAAACACGAGTGGAAAAAATTAGAGTCTTAGAAATTGTGTACTTACAGGGCTGAAAGTTGAATTCAACCTTCAAACAGTGCAACATAAAATTGAGGAAGTTTTTGAACAATACAAGCAGATTTGATCTCAGACTTGCCTTTACCAAGGAAAAGAGGAACAATATGGTCTTGTTACCTATTGATAACATTGTTAAAATCTTTTAACCTATTATCTCAGTGCAAATATCAAATTAAGGGTATAATTCTTACATGCACTATTGAAAATTATTGATAGATTAAAATGGAGTAGAGGTTAAATTAAGTGTATGACACTCTTCATTTGGGCAAAATGGCTCAGGAAAAAGAGATTGAAAGTATGGCTCTCCCAAACTGATGGACTCAAGTTACTGAAACTTTATTTGGCGGGGGGAAGGATCTAGAAAACAGGTGTAGATATTGTTAATAGCATATAGAGTTGATTGGAACGCAGTTGCTAAGAAACTGACTTAAGTTTTTGAAAAAAAAAAAAAAATACGTACTGCCAAAGAGACCATGAGCCTGGACTAAATAGTTTGTGACTGAAGCTTAAAATTATACTTAGGAAAACAACCTCTCTTGGATGAGAAGCAGTACACAAAACTACTAGATTTCCATGGAAGGCAGTTTTACTGTACTAGCTTTATATATGACTTACAGCATAATCGAAAAGGAAGAACATCCTGGATAGTGGAGACAAGAGCCACAGGCAAACAATGGACAAAGAAGCCACTTAAAGGAAAAGCAATCAGGGGCGATTCCCAGGAAAGTTCTCTAAGCCTAAGGCAGGGGCCTCTCCAAACATCTGCCCCATGGGATTTCATTGTTGCTGTGGCCTGGTGGCTGCTATATGTCTCTTCTTCTGTTTTTGAAGAACAGAATTTAATGCAGTTTATCCTATGCCTATGTTACCTTGTACATTGGGAATGTTGATTTCTTATGTAGAAACTACCAGGTATCACCCTGAGCATTCATAAATTTGACTTTGAGCTTGAAGCAATGATTGGATAGTAGTTGTTTCCTTTGGAGAAGGGGGTCAAGTGTCCAACATGGGGAGGGGAGAGAACTGTATTTGTTAACCAGATGGTTCAACTGTATTAGACCTGTATTATTGCTCCCTGGGATACAGTTCCCCTTCTTTCCAGAGGATCATACTCCCCAGCCAGTTTGAACTAGATGTGAACACATGGCCTGTTTTGGCCAATTAAATGTGAGCAAAAGTCACATACATCACTTCTAGGGAAAAGAATTATGAGTCAGTACATGCCTCATCAAATTCGATATTCCACCTGCTATGAGAATCATCAGTGTTGTGGCTACCAAATAGTGGCAGCTCCATCAGCGGGAGCCCTGAAGTGAGGATAAGGAGGCTCTGAAACACAGCCCCTAGTTGACTTGTGGTGAACATGTAGTGTGAGTGAGAAACCACCATTTGTTCTTAAAGACTACTGGGATTTGGGGAAAGGGGGTGTTTGTGTAGCATAACCTATTAGTCTGTTTTAACTGGAAAGTATAAATAATTAGAAGATTAAAGTATAAATGACGAGTGAACATATAAAAAAGATAACTGATTAGAAATTTTCAGAAAAGCAGCACATATAACTTGGAAATTGTTCCTGACTACATTTAAGATATTCATAAAATATAATTTTGGAATTGGGGACTTGTCAGGAGACTGGAGTTTCTGCTTGACAAGATGGCAGCTACTACAGGGTTACATTAGGAAATAAATGTATAACTGTACCTAGGTCTCACATGTGCCACTGTGACAAGAATGGCTGAATGATTAGGTGAATCATATTCACTCCGACACGGAGCATTATCTCTGCTAGCGTCTTCCTTTTAGTCCTCAAACTGTTTCATCTCTTTACTCACAGAAGACATTGCCCTACTCCCTAAGGGATACAGCCCTAAATATAATCTACTCACGGTCTCTAGCTCAAAGTTAAAACTCTCAGGATAGTATGTAGTTGTCTTTATCTGGCCCAGATGTGGTCTCATTTTGTCTGACAACCTATGGTTAAAAGACAGGTTATCAACCCACACTCACACATGCCTAATATACAATGGTTGAATGAGGACCAAATAACTGCAATAAGTATCGTGGTGGTAGATTGTAATACCTGTTGACAATATTCCCTGTCACCCCTATTATTCAAAATGGTTAACTCTGGACAGAGATATTTCTCCAACGTGCTGATTTTGGTTTTAGCCATGTGCCTTGCTTTGGCTAATGACATGTGAGCAGATATAACTTATGCCATACAAGACTAGAGGCATTAAATGTGTTTGTATGACTTAGCCTTCACTCTAGGCCTCTTGTCTTGCATTTTGATAAGAGCGTACTCCTGGTAGTTGCTGCTGTTTTACCCTGGGTCCCAGAAATAGACATGTGGAGCTGACCAAAATGCACCCCACAGCCTGAAACTGAACCCCACTGAGTCACAGCTGACTCACAAAACTATGAGAAATAAACACTTATTCTTATAAGCTACTGAAGTGTGCAAGTCTTTAACCACAGTAAAAGTTAATACCATTCCCATTTAGAAAGAGGAAGAATGGGAGACACAGAATAGCCACTGACTGGGTTGTGATCATTTTGAAATCTCCCTGGGAAGCTGCTATGCAGGTGCTCTCTCTTTGGTGGAAGGAAATTCCTTGATTAAACTCTGATTCTGCCCTCTGAAGGAACTCCTTTGTTTATGATCGCCATGGCCCGTGGATCTACCCTCTGGGGAGCTGTACCTTGTTCATAGTATTGTCTTTGGCCACTTCTGAAATGCATGTTGAAGAGCAAGCTCTCTTTAGGTGCTACAGAGCCTTTGAAGTCAGCTTCCTAATCATGGGAGGTTGGAGGACCCAGGTTTATTTATGTCTAGAATAGTCCAAGGCACTTGAGTTTAGGCTTATGGTTCCTTTCACAGCACAGTTACCTCTAAATTTAGTCATCTGTTTGCATCCAGTTAGTTTTGTGAGCCAGTAACTAGAAGAAAAAATTTTTCTAGACATAATTCTCAAATGTTCCTTATTTCTTTGCCTCTTTACTCCCATACTTCTCAATTTGTGGTCAAAACTATTTAGAAGAAAACATGGAAAGGCCATCCCCTTAATTTGATATTTGCCTAGAGTCACTTTGAGTTTTATTGGGCATTTGAATCTTTAGTCCTGTTCTACACTGTCTCGTATCATTCATGTTACACAAGCAAATGGCTTTTCCAAATCTGCAAGACCCCTGATTTCTGGATCATCTTTTGTCCTTTCATTTCTTCTCAGAAACTAACCACTTACTTCTTTGGTCATATTTCTCATATAATATCTTGCCAAACAGCGTCAATAGAACCTAACACATGCTACTAATACTTAATTTTCTACCCTCTTCCATTATAACACTACGTAGCCTTTCCATCTGCAATTAAGTTAATGCACTGATACTGTTACCAAGTGTTTTGCTATTGAATCAAATAGATCTCTAGCCATTTCACCTGTTCATTTCTCCTTGCCATAAAGCTTCCTGACCAGAAGTGATGCCACATATTTTTGTTCCTTTTGTCACAGGATCACTCCATTTCTGTTACCAGTGTTTGCATTAGGTTAAGTTAGGCTTTATAAAGAACCCCTTTTCAGCCATGAGTATTACAGTGTCTGAAGAGACAGGAGTGTGAAGAACCATTTAAGACAGTAATGCTCTGTATTAGTCAGGATTCTCTAGAGGGACAGAACTAATAGTATATATGTATATATGAAAGGGAGTTTATTATGGAGAATTAACTTACATGATCGTAAGGTGAAGTCCCGCAATAGGCCGTCTGCAAGCTGAGGAGCAAGGAAGCCAGTAGTGGCTCAGTCCGAATCCAAAAGTCTCAAAGGTAGAGAAGCCAACAGTGCAGGCTTCAGTCTGCGGCCGAAGGGCCAAGAGCACCTGGCAAACCACTGGTGTAAGTCCAAGAGTCCAAAAGCCAAAGGACTTGGAGTCTGATGTTTGAGGGCAGGAAGCATCCAGCACCACAAGAGAAAGATGAAGGCCAGAAGACTTAGCAAGTGTGCTCATTCCACCTCCTTCTGCCTGCTTTGTTCTAGCCACGCTGGCAGCCCACCCAGATGGAGGATGAGTCTGCCTCTCCCAGTCCACTGACTCAAATGTTAATCTCCTCTGGCAACACCCTCACAGACCCACCCAGAAACAATGCTTTGCATCCTTCAATTAAGCTGAGACTTAATATTAACCAGCCCATGCTGTTATCCAGGTGAAAGTTATTTGGGTCTTCCCTATGGAGTGGATACTATGCTGAAAAAAATAGATAAAACAGATTTCCTAATCAATTATTTTTATTCTTTTTTTTTTTTTTTTTGAGACAGGGTCTCACTCTGTCACCCAGGCTGGAGTGTGGTGGTGCAATCTTGGCTTTTTGCGGCCTCAAACTCCTCAGCTCAAGCAATCCTCCTACCTCAGCCTCCCAAGTAGCTGAGACTACATTGCGGGGGGTGGGGGGGGGGTGGTTTCCACAACCAGCTAATTTTATTTTTTTGTAGAGAGAAGGTCTCACTCTGTTGCCCAGGCTGGCCCTGAACTCCTGTACTCATGCAGTCCTCCTGCCTCGGCCTCCCAAAGTGCTGTGATTACAGGCATGAGCCACTGTGCCTGTTCATTGTTTTTAGTTATTGTAATTAATAAAATAGGTTCTGATTTCATCTGATACCTAAAATGATCAAGGAACTGGGTAATGAATCACTGTTTGGACAGCCCGTTACTGTTACGAATAGATTGCTTATGATTGACCAGAATAACAGCTGAAAATTTAATGAATCTACTGCAATCTTGTCACTTCAGTCAGGCAGCATAAAGGCAGCCAGTGGAAATATCATCCTTGCTTTGTTCCAGTCTAAAGAATTCAGCAGTCAGCATGAGCTCCTCTGGTTAGAAATGCAGACACAGGACCCTTGGGGTAGAGACTTGCTCACTTGCTGCCAGAATGCCCCTCTGGATTAATTTCAGGCCCAGTGAAGTATATGATTTACTGATTAATAGAAAATATTAAATGCTACTTAGTTACAGCACAAATGCATTATGAAAAATGAATGGTTTTAATGACAAGGACTTTTTCTCAGTATACATAGAGCTCAATAGGGGGAACGTTTTTCCAAATAGTAGAATACCGGCTCTCAGGATTAGGACTCTAATTTAGGGTATTCAGTTGCAAATGAGGAATTCATCATGTACCCAAAGAGAGAAGCCACTCCAGATCTGTGTCATGTGGCTTTGATTTCAGGCAGTACTGTTTGGAGCAAGTTAATTCTACTAAAATAATTTAGGGAACATTGATATCCTTTGAGCACAAAGAAATGTGTCCACCTATGTGTGTTTACTATATGTTATTTTACTTAAAGGTGATAACTACAAAAAATGAAGAAAAGCAGAAGAAAAAAAGGAAAGAAATGCCCCAGTTTCAACAAAAAGGTCTATAGTTTTTGTCACAGTTTGGATTCTCTGAGAAGGAAACTGAGGTGGAGAATCGTATGCAGGAAGTTTATTGGGGACTGGCCTCAGGATCAACGCCTGTGGGGTTATGAAGGAAGCAGGATTGAGCAAAATAAGTTATACTTGGTGCATTCGTAGTGGAGTCCTCAGCCAACCCCACAAAGAATTGTGGAGCTGAAATATCCCTTCAGGGTGGTCTCAAATTGAGGTAAAGATCTGGACCTTTATTACCCCTCCCACAACTACCCCCACTATCACTGGATACAGGCTGTCCCAGAGAAGGAGTTGTGATTTTGGGTGAGGCATCTTTCTCCAGCTGTGAACAATCCCTGGAAATGGACTTAGCTGAGAGGAGTCAATCACCAACAGTCTCAACAACTGAGGAAATGAGTGCTTCAGGCCTGGAACTGGGTAAGCCGGGTGGTGTATCATGGTGTCCACTACAGTTCTCTGCTACTAATAGCTATATGATTTATTGAGAATGTGTGTGTTGGTGGTGGGGGAATAGGAGAGGTGATAATGGAGGGGGAAGTTTTTAGGGAAGGATTGGAGCCAGATATGAGACTTTTTCTCCTGTGACTCAAATGTCAGTTTCCTTATTGTTCAGCTTCTTTAACAGTAGATAAGGCCATACATGTCATCTGTTTAAAATAACTAACAGGATTCCCTGGACTTCAAAGCTAGGAGGAACCTTGAAGATGATCCAGTAAAAAAGGCCCGGAGATGTTAAATGCTTCATGTTAGTAGTGAGACCAAGGCTTTATATGCATGCTTGATGGGTGAGACATGACTGATGTCAAGAGTGGCTGACATTTAAATATTGTCATTTCAGAAGCCATCTACTCCTTATTTTATCCTAAAATAACTCCTAATTTTTTACAAGTGCTAGGAGGATATAGTATGCTGAGCAGGGCTGGGATGGCAAGTGAGGACCACACTTAAGATTGTACAGGTGCACACAATTTCAGGAGGCGCTCAAAGGGTTGTTGGAAGAGCATGACCCTGAGATTAAGTGCCTCCTAAAGTTTTTTCCTAGATTTCTAAAATGCTGTACCTTATTCCAGGCTCTGGTGCTCAGAAAATGGGCCTTTCCTCAGAAGAGATGAAATTCATTCTCGTTCAGCAGAGACTGGCTTAAAGTAAACCATGTAACCCAGTCTGTCTGTCTTAGTCTGTATATGCTGCTATAATAAAATACTTAAGACTGGGTAATTTACAAAGAACAGAAATGTATTTCTCACAGTTCTGGAGTCTGGGAATTCCAAGATCAAGGTGGTGGCAGGTTTGGTTATTCCATGAGGGCTGCCTTCTGCTCCCAAGATGGCACCTTATTGCTGCATCCACTGGAGGGAAGGAATGCCTGTCTCACATGGTACAAAGTGGAAGAGCATGAACCCTCTCGTATAAGGACCTTAATCCTGTTCATGAAGGAGGAGCCCTTAATTTAAGACATAATTAGAGGTCTAATTACCTCCTAATGGCCCCACATCTTAATACTATCACATTGGCCATTAAGTTTTTTGTTTGTTTGTTTGGTTGTTTGGTTTTTCTGTTTGGTTGGGTTTTTTTTTTTTTTTTTGGAGACGGAGTCTCACTCTGTCACCCAGGCTGGAGTGCAGTGGTACGATCTCGGCTCACAGCAATCTCTGCCTCCCAGGTTCAAGCGATTCTCCTGCCTCAGCCTCCTGAGTAGCTGGGACTACAGGCATGTGCCACCACACCCAGCTAATTTTTTGTATTTTTAGTAGAGACAGGGTTTCACCATGTTAGCCAGGATGGTCTCGATCTCCTGACCTCATGATCTGCTCGCCTCAGCCTCCCAAAGTGCTGGGATTACAGGCATGAGCCACTGCGCCTGGCCGGCCATTAAGTTTTAACACATTACTTTTGGAAGGGACATATTCAAACCACAGCAGAGGGCTTCTGCTGTGAGACTCCTGGAAAGGTTTCCTTACCGATAAAAAGGAGACACTAGAGGAGAAATTTCACTTTCTGTCTTTGGCCAGAGTCATATAAATATGTGATGGCTGGAACTGTTGCAGTCATCTTGCAGCCATGAAGGGCCAAACTAGATGATGAGTGCCGGGTGGTGGCAAAGAAACCTGGTTCCTTGGTGTAGCACTGCTGAATGAACCAACCCTGGAACTCCCTGCTTTGGGATTTCTGGGAGGTGAGATAATACATTTTCACTGATTAAGACACTATTAATCAAATTTTCTGTTACTTGCAAAATGAACCCAACTTTTTATAAGGGGGTCTTTTTCTAACATGAAACTGCCCCACCTCCTTGTAAGCATTTTGATTCCTTGAGCACACCTCTCTATCTCCATTAGAACTTCTCCATTATGCTAACAAATTTATTTTTAACACAAAATTTATTTTAACTAACACAAAAGTGTTAGTTTTTGGTAATAGCTTGAGGTGATATGTGTTTCTCCACTTATTAGCTGTGGGACCTTGGACTAGTGACTTCACTGCTCTGGACTTTTTTTATTTTTTTTTTCATTTGTAATATTTCAATATTACTATTACTTATCTCAGAGGGTGATTGTGAGGCATATGGAAATAATATATGTAAAGTGTTTAACATAGTGCCTGGTACATAATAAGCATTCAATAGATGTTATGAATTATTCGCTTTTACTAGCTACTCATTCCCTCTGTGGAATATTTACTTATTAGAGACATATAAAGGATCTTTTTATCTTTTGGTCACCAGGCATCCATTTACCGTATCAGGAAACAGCCATTTAAGACGCTATTCTTTCTCCATTCTTGGTTCATTTGACTCAAGTGGCACCTCACTCCATAATTCAGTTGGCAGAATATATGACCTGGGACTCAACCATCAACTGTATCTCATTTGACCATATTATATGCCTGGCCATAATGATTATTCACGTTTGGTCACACAGTGAAACAAATGCCAGTGAGATACAATGAGACTGTGTCTGGGGCATCCTGGGAAGTTATTTTCCTTCTGATTGGTTTCGAACATAGGAAGATGGACAATCTGCAGCTGTTGCCACCACTTTGCTAACATATTGCTCCAGAGATAGAAACTAATAAGCAGAAGGCAGAACAAAGAAACTGGATTCTGATGAGATTATTTGAACCCTGGATCTAGCCATACTCTAAGCCTGCCCTTCTCCTGGAATCTGCAGTTATGTGACCACCAGTGAATCCTGCTTTTGCTTAAGCCAGTTTAGGCTATTTTTCTTTCATTTATGACAAAGCAAATCTAAACTCATACAAGAGAAAACTTTCTTTAAAATATCCTAATTGTCACTTTTGAGTGAATTGTAATTTAGAGAACCCTCTTGCCTATGTGTCATAACATAGCCTACTCCATACTTTTTGTTCCCTACTCCTTGCAAGGGCCAGCACACACTTACACCATGAGGTGCTGCAGAAACTGAAGGGACTGTTTACTATAAATCTTCCTTGAGAAACCTGATAAGTTTTCTTAACCTATAGTTTTCTTGGTTTCGTTTAGGTAGCATATGGATAACCTGCTTCATAGAGATGCCAGGATTAAATGAGATCATATATGTAAAGTATTATTCCTTCATGTTACTCTTATGTTGTTTACTCCTGTATCTTATGATGCTCAAAGGCACTCCAGGCCAGGCAGCACAGGTTTTATTCTTTAGCAGCCCAGTTCCAAGGGACCAGTTCCTCATGCATTTGAGGGTCTGGTTGTTGAGCATGCCTGGGAGAAGGAGTAGAAACATGGGCTCTCTTCCAGGCAGCTCTTACAAAGGATAAAGAGCCAAAGACCAGGGGCATAAGTGCAAGTGAATGAAAAGGAGCCTGGTCTAGGCCTTGGAGAGTAGAGGAAGGTCGTTTGAGGTTGTAGGGAGAATAGGCAGTAAGCGGTCAGGGAAGGCTGGCGGCATGTGGAATGGCAGAAGGAAGTAAGCAGAAGAGTCCAGCTGATGAGCAGAAGGTCGCAAGGACTGGAATGAGAAAGGAAGGAAAAAGATAGAGGAGTATATGAAGGAGTGAGCAAGCACAGAGTAAAGGGTACCCACCTTCTCAGCTGCTTTCACAATGCATTGATTCCACACAGTCACCATTGATTTAAGGCTTGGTAGAAGACAAAGGGAAGGAGGAACGGCCCCTGAGGGTACAGAACTGGGCCTGACGAGCAATTAGCATAAACCCTTCTAACACGATGATCATTAGTTCTTTTTGTAGTGTTTTTCTGTTGGTTACAAACTTCCATTTAGATTGTTTCATTGGGTCCTTGCCACATCCATATAAAGAAAGCAGGACAGGGTTATGATGTACATTTTGCAAGTAAGGGAATGAAGGTTAACCTTTTCAAGGATTGCCTAGCTAATATCTGCTGCTCTTGAATCTTAGTTTATCTTTCAGGTTTCTGAGATTGGCCTTCATTAAATTCCTATACATTTCTTAAGTTCCCTCTACTTCCTAAGTGGTGTATCTGACACTAGTCTCAATTTGATGCCAATGCATCCTCTTTTCTTGTGGCCAGAGCTATCCTTCGAATCATGCCATTCTTCTGCCCAACAATATCAGTTGTTTCCCATTGCCCACCACAATAAAGTCACAACTGTAATGCGGGACTCAAGGTCTTTGCTATTTACAGCCCATTGACCTTTCCATCCCTCTTCCCCATGCTCCAGCCATGGAGGAGTATTAGCCAGTTCTTGAACATGCCATGCCTGCCCTTTGGAACCTCTCAACCGTGGAAATGTTTTACTTGTTGCCAGGAACGTCACCTACTGTCGTCTTTGTCAAAAGTCCTGCTTACTCGAGATCATCTTAAAAGTTTGTCTCAACTGGAAACTTCTCAAACGTCCGTAAGCAGGCTTGGTCCTTTCTCTGAGAGCCCCGCTCTTTTTGATTATTCTCTAATGTAGCATTTTGTATCCCTTGACTATCATTATATGTTGGTACCTTAAGGTTTGGTCTTGTTTTGTTTATGTTTTTCACTGAACTGTGAACTCCTGCAGAGAGAAATCATATCTGCTTCAACTTTGTTTCTCATATCACCGAGAAAGCCTGGCACAAACCACGTACCCCATGGATACTGAACTGAATTTCACGTTCCTCTTAAGGCTACCTTCAATGCTTATTATGTGGTCCAGTTCCTTGTACACACATGGTAACAGGAGTGCTGGAAGAGGTATGCAAAATGCCATTCAAGATGGCCTTGTTTATCTCATTGAGTTCCTTAAGCATTCACTGTGCTTTAAGTCTCACAGACAACGAGTTAAGACACCTTCCTCACGAAGTGTAGCATTGATGTGAATTATTTCTCTCTGCACTGTCACAGATATTTCATTGTATATCCACCCAAAGTAAAGGCACCTAAAATACAACAAATCTATTTTGGCCTTAGGTCAAACATTTTTCTATATTTGTTAAGAGACACAGTTCTTATTGATTGCTATTTAACGTTAGGAGTAATTTTAAAAAACTGACAACTTCTGGCCTACTCTGATAATTGCCACTTCCCTGACAGGCTTACAACAAGTGTGGAAGCAGCTGATAGGTGTCACAGGATGGACAGGCTAGTCCCACAGGTCATCATGAAAAGTAATTTGCCCTGATCCTTATAGGGACCAGGTCTAGGAGACTCTCGTACTTGAAGTTTATAAAACCAAGCAACTTCCTCATTGAACGAGATAAAAATAAATATGACCTTCCCACTGCCACCACAGTAATTAATGTTAGGGAAAATCTGAGAAAATGGTGTGTCTAGATAGAGGACATGAATTGCGGGATCAGTTCCCCAGTACTCCTTGGAAGGCTTTTCTTAAGAATCACTATAAGGAGTCCAGATGGGCAAAAATTTGGCACTTTCTTCAGGGCTGTGAAGAGGAAGGTGATATGCTATCAGAGACCAAAAAGTTAGGTCTAGGAAAACCAGGGCAATGACAATGAATTGGTGACTTGGTAACCAATCATACGATTTTACCCAGAATCTTTGCTAGTAATAAACTCAAGACAGTAGGAGCTGTAATGTGAAGCCTTGCCTGTTAAGCAGAAAAACAGCTTCTACCTGCCTACTTTCCCCTGCCTCTGGTTGGCAACTTGCATAGACGGCTGACCATGGTAATGGAAGAGGAAAACGGCGAGGGCATCCCTCCAAGACTGCCAGTCATAGGATCTGGTCCAGCTGTAAGGGAACGTGTATCTAAACTAGTCTAGCCAGAAGCAAAACCTGAATCCTATATGAAGAATACTGGGAAGACTCTACGAGACATCTGGGACAGAGTAGAGTTGGCCCTTCTTGTTCATGGGTTCCACATTCGTGGATCCAACTAACAACAGATTGAAAATATTAAGGGAAAAAACAATTAAAAATAACAATACAATAATAAAACACAAATAAAATAATGCAGTATAATAACCATTTACACAGCATTTATATTGCATTAGGTATCAGAGGTAATCTAGAGATAAAGTATACAGAAAAATGAGCTTAGGTTATATGCAAGTACACCATTTTATATCAGGGACTTGAGCATTCTTGGATTTTGATATCCATGTAGTATCCTGGTACCAATTCCTCACAGATATGGAGGGAGCCTCAGCACAAGCAGTTGTAAGTTATGTTGATTAAAAATAGGCAAAGTGATGCAGAACCAAGGCTGTAGAAGGCAAAGGAGTACTGAAGTTCCCTTTTCTGTAATGCCTTGCACAGTTGTGAAGACCAGGAATGAACATCCCTATGCATTATATGCCAATTTTGATGCTGCCTACTTTCAGGCATTGCCTTTTGTCAGGAAATGACCTTTGGCCCCAAGGCAAAGGGTCTGAAATTTCAGTGCTTTGGCCAATTCTTCCATTTGAAGAATTCTTGGCTTCCTATTCTTGTTAAGTCAGGCTCAGCATGATTTTGACCAATTTGTACTCTTAATTGAGAAATCACTGGTGGTTAGCTTGAACTCAGGGGATCCTGCCTGCTGGGCTGCTCTAGTCTTTGTGGTTAGTCAATCAGAAAGCAGAAACATCTAGAATGTCAGGCCACACAGTAATGTTCACTTTAATTGCCAAAATTGATAGCAGAAAGTTAAAGTTTCATTATAATGTTCTCCAGAAAGACTGACAAACCACAGGAGCTTTCATGCTGGTTTCGTAGCTTGCGATCTTTGTCAGAAGAAGCAGGTGGCATGCAGTTTAACACAAGCACGTCCCTTCTTAGCAAACACTTTCCCCTCTGCAAGGAGTAATTCACAGTTCAATTTACCCTGACCACACCTTACCCAAGCTAGTACAGTGGTATTTCATCAGAATTTTTTTGATCAGCACATAGGAAATTGGAATTATATGCATTTTACTTTGCAGTTCTAACTTGCCTTTATCTTTTTCTGCTTTTGTTCACCAGTGTTCCCACTCCCTTGTTCAGGTCAGGTCTCAGAAAATCAGTATAGCAAGTTAAAAAACAATCCTTCAAATAAATCATAAAATATAATGACATGCAGTGCAGTCAAGATGATATTAACACATACAGAAGAACTTGTCTATCTATGCTTTTACACTGATGACTAGACCAACTGCATTTACAACTTTTTTCTGTGCTGTTTTGAGGTTTTCTCATTCTTTACTCACTTAGAAAAACTCAGTTGAAGCACTTATCTTATTTTCTTTGTTGTTTTTGTGATGCCTTAAGAAAAAAAAAATGTCTCTCTCTGCAGACTGATGGTCTGAGGGCTTTGCCCCAGGAGTCTTTAGATTGAGATATTTTAAATCTCACTCTGCCACAGTCTCCATAGGAGAGTCTCCCTCTTCCCATTACTCACAGATTTCTGCTATCTTGAACACTCCTTCACAGGAGGCAATGGCATAATTGAAGCTCTCTGAGTCTTAGTTTCCATTTCTGAAAGGAAGAGAATTACATGGTGATCTCCACGTCCCTGTGTCAATGAAACCAGCTCTGGCCTCTCTTAGCCAAATAGCAGCTTTTATTCCCTTTATGCATCACTGCTATTTCCTGGCAGAAGTAATTGGGGATCTGTATTACTTAATAACTGTATTTGTCAGAATATTACGGCAAGTTACTTCCTAAAGCATCCAGACCTTTTTTAAAAGCTCTAGTGCCTATACTCAGACATGTGTGTACCAACTTGCACAGCTTTCTTCTCCAGCCACTCCAGGAAAACGTATTTTTTTTCCCATGGGTCTCTTTATTGATTTTTTTTCTGTCCCTTTGTATCTTTCAAAGCTGCATTTCACTTCCTACTTTGGCTTTTTCTGATCTGACTCCTTGAATGTATCGCTATTTTTTGTTTTCTTTCTTGGGCATTTTCCCAGCTTCCACTTTCAGATGTTTCCCCTTTGTCAGTACCTTGTGCTCTTTTGTTGTTGCTGCTGCTGCTGCTGCTGCTGCGTTATTAAGAGCTGAAAGGAAAAAGTAGGTGAGTTGCTGAGTGATATGGCAGCCAACTTGTATTATTCCCAGAACGGTTTGTGTTTAATATTGTCCATTTATGACCAGTCTCTGATGATGGCTCAGGCTCTGGGAAGTAGCCTCGGATGCACTACCAGTTTTTCTTCATCTTTTCTTTATTATGTGGTTTTTAACTTACTTGCTTGCTTTCTGTTTATATGACAATGGATTTTTGTGACCGTTAGTCTCTACTGCATTTCCACCAATAATTATTTTTCCTGTTTATGAATTATTTCCAATCAACCATTCTACAAGTTTCTCATAGAGGCCTCGATTTAAAACCTTGCTTTCTTTCTTTTACTATCTGTGTAATCTTAGGCAAGCCACTTTCCCACAGTGGGCCTGTTTCTGTGTATAGATGATGATACTTATGTCATATTATTAATATGAGGATTACATGAGTTTATATGTGTGAACATGTCTAGCATACTGCCTGACTTACAGTGGGGCTCAGTACAAGAATATTTCCTTCCCTCCTCCTCCTTCCTCTTCCTTTTTATTTGACACTGCATGAACAAGTAACAAGGGTTGTTTTAACAGTTCCAGAAAATGCTTCCATCTTTTGGGACAGGAAACTTTGTTTAAACAGGTTATTCTGGCATACCCGAAAAGGTTTTGAAAGCCACCTAAGTAAAACTAGATTCCATTCCCAGAATTCAATGTGTGTCACTGATTTCTGTGGGCACCCATGGGTCCATACTGTATTAGATAGATTTTGGTGGCTTCCCTAAACATGGTAAATTTCCATTAAATAATTATTTACCTTGAACTTTTCTCAGATACTTTGGATTCCTTTTCTCTGTTCCTCATATACTGAAGTAAATGGCCATTATCCTTCCTCTCATGCCTTTTCAAGCAAACACCATCTGTCATAGTGTTTACTCTGCCAAAAAGTCACTCCAAATTTGGGCCTCAGCACCTGGACCATTCATCAACTCCAGTTCACAGTATTTCATGTTGCAAAATCACATGTATTCATTTCTCTATTCTCTTTTCTTCCAGAGTCAGCTTCAGCTTCTGAGGAATCCTCTCTGCTTTCCTTTGCTAGCTTTCCAAATACTTGGCTCCAGTCCTTACTCATTGATTCCACTTTGCAGCCGTAACCACTTTTTCCAGGCATGTAGAATTGTCTACATTTCTCATCATCTTTATGGGTTCATGGTGCCTCCTTTTTGCCTAGAAAAAGCCAAACCTAATGCACTCTTCTGTGCTTTGTAAAATAGGGCGTGCAATTCTTTATAATTATCTGGCTGTCTTACCATCCCTAGTTCAAGACGATACGTACTTCTTAAGACAGAATTGTTCAAATGATTCCAGTTCTCCCTTTAGGCCACCCTCTCTTCTTTTGTGTTTCATTTTCCATGTAGTTATGCAAATTTTACATTATGAGGGATCACTCCCATACATCACAGAAGACAGTGCTCAGACACCTACTGGGCATGAGAGATAGAAATACCGAGACTCAGAAACAGAAATTTCATGTGAAATTTTCCAAGCCTGACCTTCTATCTGAAGAAGCAATCCCATGTTGATAAGTGGTTTATCTCAGCTCTCCCCAGACTTTTTGGCCTCAGGGACACGTTTCATGGACTTGGGTGGTTGGGGGCAGCGGGTGGTTTTCGGGTAATTCAAGCACATTATATTTATTGTACACTTTATTTCTATTATTATTACATTGTAATATATAATGGAATATTTATACAACTCCCCATAATGTAGAATCGGTGGGATCCCTGAGCTTGTTTTCCTGCAACTAGACAGTCTCATCTTGGGGCAAGTCCCACCCAAGTCCATGAAACCTGTCCCTGAGGCCAAAAAGTTTGGGGACAGCTGAGATAAACCACTTACCAACATGGGATTGCTTCTTCAGGTAGAAGGTCAGGCTTGGAAAATTTCACATGAAATTTCTGTTTCTGAGTCTCGGCATTTCTATCTGTCATGCCCAGTAGGTGTCTGAGCACTATCTTCTGAGATGAATGGGGATTATCCCTCATAATGTAAACAGTGACAGATCATCAGGTGTTAGATTCTCATAGGGACCCCGCAACCTGGATCCCGTGGATGCGTAGCTCACAATAGGGTTCGTGCTCCTATGAGAATCTACTGCTGCCACTGATCTGACAGGAGGTGGAGCTCAGGTGGTAATGCCAGTGATGGGGAGAAGCTGTGAATACAGATGAAGCTTAGCTGGCCTACTGCTCACCTCCTGCTATACGGCCCAGTTCCTAACACGTCACAGACCAGTACTAGTACGTGGCCCAGGGGTTGGGGACCCCTGGTTTATCTGACCTCTAGAGATTTAGAAGTCATTATCTCATGAGGATTATCTTGGACTGTTCTAACTGGTGTAGAGTTTATTTGACTATCAGACCAAAATCTACTTTCTTATAACTTTTACCAAGTGAGCTAAAGTCCTAGTTAGTCCCTTTTGAACCACACAGTTCTTTTCCATATGATATCCCTTTCTAATAGTTGAGGACATCATTAGTATTTAATCTACTAAGTCATTTATCTTCTAAACAACCTCAGTTCTTTCATTTCCAAAGCTTCTAGACTCTTTACCATCCTGACCATTCACCTCTAGATGTAAGCTAGCATGCCAAAAAATGTGGCATTAAGAATCAAGTCAGGGCCAGGCGTGGTGGCTCATGCCTGTAATCTCAGCACTTTGGGAGGCCGAGGTGGGCGGATCACCTGAGGTCGGGAGTTCGAGACCAGCCTGACCAACATGGGGAAACCCCGTCTCTACTAAAAATACAAAAATAGCCAGGCATGGTGGCACATGCCTGTAATCCCAGCTACTCAGGAGGCTGAGGCAGGAGAATCGCTTGAACCCAGGAGGCGGAAGTTGCGGTGAGCTGAGATCATGCCATTGCACTCCAGCCTGGACAACAAGAGTGAAACTCTGACTCAAAAAAAAAAGGTGGGCACGGTGTCTCACGCCTGTAATCCCAGCACTTTGGGAGGCCTAGGCAGGTGGATCACGAGGTCAGGAGATCGAGACCATCCTGGCCAACATGGTGAAACCCCATCTCTACTAAAAATACAAAAAAAAAAAAAAATTAGCTGGGCGTGGTCGTGCACACCTTTAGTCCCAGCTACTCAGGAGGCTGAAGCAGGGGAATCACTTGAATCTGGGAGGTGGAGGTTGCAGTGAGCCACAATCACACTGCTGCACTCCAGCCTGGTGACAGAGCGAGACTCTGTCTAAAACAAACAAACAAAAAAGAACTAAGAATATTAGGGAAAGCCTGTTCCTCACAGAACAGAGACTATCATTTTACGTAGCATCCTTCTTCTGATATAATCTAAAATCATAATCACTATTCAGCAACTTTATCACACTGTTGACTCATTCTGAGCTTGCAGAAAACAGCAAACCCCCTTTTTAGAAAAAAACAAAACAAACAAAACTATTGGTTAGTGAAATCTCTTTAATCCTAAACATAGGCAGTGCTTGTGCTTGTTTTATTTCATTTTAGTCTAGATCTTGGGTTCACATTCAGCTACATTAATTTTCACCTTGCTAAATTTACTACTCTGTCATTTTTGCCATTGAGATAATTTTGGATTCTATCTCTTTTTTTATGTGAATCCAAAAATTCAAAAGAGTAACCTTCATAATGGGCTTTCATTTTGTGAAACAAATGCCATTTTTTGTATTTTTTTATTTACATCATTATTATATTCTGCTCACAGTATGTTGCCATCTGTCATACTTTATTTTAACTTGAGAAGTCTGTTTAAAGACTGCTTACAGACCTATGGGATTAAACTCACTTTTGAAAGCTTAATGCTTATGCCTGAAAGTAAAGTCAGTCCTCCACTTATAAACAACATGCCACTATAGCCAAAACATATGAAAGGAGAGGAAGTGGCATTCATAAAATCAGAATTGATTTCTTTTCACAAATCAGATAAACATGTCACCCAAACAACTAATGTGCAAAGGAACGATTTCAGATTCTGGAGCCAGACCCAATTAATTTGAATTCCAGCCACCTCACTCCTTTGGCGAGTCACATTGGGCCATTTAATAATCTCTGTGACACTTCATCTAAAAGGTGTGGCCCTGGGTACTAGCTTCTCAAGATGATGAATAGAATTATGAGAGATAATAGATACAGAAGATCCTGGCCAAAATTCTTAGCATATAGTTGGTGCTCATTATGTGTTGTTGTAAGATGAACAGACTCCATCATTTCAAATTCATGGTTTCCTCACCACTTCCAGCAAACCTTGAGATTCCCCTCTGTTTTGTTGATATTTAAATTCCATATGCCGCAATGTAATTTCTTCTTAAATATGATGATCGACATGTTCCCTGAAAGCCTCTCTCTTTTATCCCCTGTGTCCTGGACTGCACACACGGTTCTACTTGAATTAAATAGAACAATACTTGATGACAGCAGACGCTGTGTAGAGTGCACTTCCAACCTACAGAGTATGGAGAGCCAATGTGACGGTGAAGACTTAGCTGATCTGAAGGAAAGGCAATTTGCTAGAGGAAATCCTGGTGAGGTTTGCCTTGACAATCTCCTAACCCCTTTCTTTTCTCCCTAGTATACTTCAGGAAGGTGACTTTGGAAGAGAAGTTTACAGAGGCTTTGCTCAGGTCAGTGTTATTTGAAAATGTTTTGCTTCTGTCTCTCATGACTCACTTGTGATTTCATCTGTTCTCAGCTGATTGAAGAGAATGGCATGGCAGGAGGAGCCTCAGTGGCTGCTCCAAGCGTGAGCAATTACCCATCAATTTCATAAGGTCTTGGCTCCTGCTTGACCTCCCAATTGAGAATATACAGTCGTCAAGCTGTGTGCCCCTGTGCTTCCCTACTGCTCGGCTCCAGTGGGAAATCAGTGCAGCGTATGGGTAAGTTGTAAGGCCCTGGAATCAATCAAGGTGATCTAGATTTAAACTGATTGTCTTACCTCTGAACCCCCATTTCTTCGTCTGTAAAATGGGGATAATCGTGATACCACCACACCTGCCTTACAAGAGCGTCTGTATATTTGACACAGTGCAACTTTAAAACCACGTCATCTTCTTTTTTTTTTTTAATTTTTTTAGTATTTATTGATCATTCTTGGGTGTTTCTCGGAAAGGGGGATTTGGCAGGGTCATAGGACAATAGTGGAGGGAAGGTCAGCAGATAAACATGTGAACAAAGGTCTCTGGTTTTCCTCGGCAGAGGGCCCTGCCGCCTTCCGCAGTGTTTGTGTCCCTGGGTACTTGAGATTAGGGAGTGGTGATGACTCTTAAGGAGCATGCTGCCTTCAAGCATCTGTTTAACAAAGCACATCTTGCACCGCCCTTAATCCATTTAACCCTTAGTGGACACAGCACATGTTTCAGAGAGCACGGGGTTGGGGGTAAGGCTATAGATTAACAGCATCCCAAGGCAGAAGAATTTTTCTTAGTACAGAACAAAATGGAGTCTCCTATGTCTACTTCTTTCTACACAGACACAGTAACAATCTGATCTCTCTTTCTTTTCCCCACATTTCCCCCTTTTCTATTCGACAAAACCACCATCGTCATCATGGCCCGTTCTCAATGAGCTGTTGGGTACACCTCCCAGACGGGGTGGCGGCCGGGCAGAGGGGCTCCTCACTTCCCAGACAGGGCAGCCGGGCAGAGGCGCCCCCCACCTCCCGGACGGGGACATCATCTTCTTTAAGTGCTAGACATCGCCATTTACAATAAGGAGGCTTCTTGCTTTGGGGACCTTTCCTTCCTGGACAGTGACTTGATTGTTTAACTCTGTGATGGCATCTGTACACGGTTCAGGTAAGTGGTTAGATATGACTTTGCTGCCCAGGTTTGTGCTGGCAGCCACATGGAAGCCACACTCTTGGGATAGTTTTGGTAGACTGCTTGGCAATATAACCACAAGGGTTAAACCCAGCTAGTTAGCAGGTTGACTCACAGCCCCCATCCTCATAGTTCTGGAGATTCCAAATGGGAAGTGTAGTTATCATCAGCATGGCGTTAAAATGATAACCATCCTTAACCTTGTGTAATGACATTACGGTTTCCTGGTTTCCTCATTTGATCTGTGCTGTACCTCAGTGAATTAGTTGTAATAATTACATCAGCATCAAAGGCTTGCTGGGAAGATGAGATGAGGAAGCCCTTGCATAATCAATCACCTAGGGCTGTGCCATCCTCCAGGGGGGCAGAGATAACTGCACACAGATCTCCATCTCGTAGGGCTTGGCTGCAACTCTTGCTTAAATGCTTTTGTACTTTGAACACTGAAGAGAAACATTCTTTCCTAACTTAGAGCTGCTTTGTAGAAATACGTGTCGAAGTGTTAGTGGTTTCATAAATTTCTAAATGAAATTGTTTAAGTTATTCTACGGTATCATCTGGTTACATGGTGTGTAAAGTGACACTGTGCTGTGACACCTCCCCAGCATTTTCCTTCATTAACACGGTTCGGTGGACCTGACTGTCAGTGTGTGAGCCCGGACCACACTGGGCTAATTATTCTGACCATAAAATGCCAATTAGCGCCTGGTGTGGTAAATATCCTTTATTAGTTTTACTTTCTATGATTTTTTCAAAATATATACCCAGATATATTTCTGGATGAACCTAACATCACTTTGTCAAATTCAGGAAAAAATAAAGCACCTCAGTGAAGATTTTAAAAATGCAATTACCATAAAACATACATTAAATTCTGCAAACAAATCTCATTACAAGTATCAGATGTTCTGCCTGAGTAATGTGAGTATGTATCTTTTCATTGGAGTCTGCTTTCCATACGCATTAGGAAATGTTTGTTATTTCTCCTTATAGGTTTAGAATAATTCTTGATATGTTTACTCCTGTGCGTTTAATTTTCTCCTTTCATTAATGACTTGTTTCTATATATCTAATTTATTTCTACCCATTTGATTCAACTTAGTAGTTTTCATAATTGTTAATTTATTATTTACAATTTCTAGTTAGATAAAAATATTCTTTATGCATTTGCATAGCATCATGAAAATCAGGTGACTATTATACATTTAATAATAAAAAAGATTTCAAAAAGCACCTACCACATCCTCATACACGCTGCATACACATGGCCGTGTATCACGAGTCAGGGAGCATTGTTTTTTGGGTAACTCCCTCTCCATATGAAAGGCAAAATACCTTGGAAATCTTTTGATTATAGAGAATGCCAGTAGTGCTTGCAAGAGGCTCAAACCACAGCAATTAGAGAAGTCCCTTGCAGTCACATAGTGGAAAATGTTTGTACTTTAGATAGCAAAGCAATATGTTATCAGGGGATGTGATTAGAATTAGAATTAGCATCATGTCTTTGTAACATAACCCCTTAACATGCTGGTTTATTTGCAGTTTATCAAAGTATTTTCAAGTGGAATCAATCTTGACCTATGTGACTACTTGATAAGGGAGGTGGTGTAATTATTCCATCTGCTGCATGGGCCTGTTGTGAAGATTTGAGGAGAAGATCCTCATGTGGTCACGGTGCAGTGCCTGACCTGGACAAAATACTCAATAAATCTTCACAATTGCAATTGTTCTCACTAGAAAATATCATTTTCCTCTTGAATATGTGAAAAATTAAAGTTGGAGAGGGAAGAGTAGTAAAGCAAATAAAAGACACATTTTTCTGCAGTTTTAGAATAAAATTATTTTGATTAGAGAAATTACATATGCTCAAATTACTGGAGGAAGAGAGCAAAGATAGTTATGTGCCACATAAGGACATTTCGGCCAACTACAAACCACATGTAACACGGTGGTCCCGTAAGTCTATAATGCTATATTTTTACTCTACCTTTCCTGTGTTTATACATGTTTAGATACACAAATATTTCTCATTGTATTACAGTTGCCTACAGTATTCAGTACAGTAACATGCTATAGCCCAGGAGTAATAGGCTATACCATACAGCCTAGGAATGTAGCAGGTTGTACCATCTATCCTGCAAGTATCCTCTCTGATGTTTGCATGATGATAAAATCGCCCAAGGACAGAACTCTCAGAATGTATCCCTGTTGTTAAATGCGGCATTACTATATTTCAAGGAAGGCTGAGGATTTAGGGAGTCCCTACTCCCCTCCAACATACTCTTAAGACATCCATTATTGGAAGTCCCGAGACCACACTAAAACTCATCAGATAAATAGATACAAAGCCACTTAAATATGTCCATATTCACCCCACACTGCCTAACCACCCCACACCCCCACCAACTCCTCCAAATATGCTGCATACCCCAACAGTCAACTCAGGCTGAGAGGCCCCTCTGTTTATACCAAAACATGGGTAACCTTTAACAAATGTTTCCTTAAAACAGCCAGCATGCTATGCATTTTAAACTTTCTTTTTCACTTAAAATGGAAATCTTTCCAGATCAATAGATTTATCTTGTACATTTTAAAATTCAACCTCTTAACTCATATAAAATTTATTGAGTGTAAATTGTGAAGTGCTGATTTAACAGTTTAATTTTTTCACAAACATCTAATTTTCCCAAAAGCATTTGACCTTAGTATAATACTTGTTTCAACTCTGTTCATTCTTGAGCTAAAAGACCTTACAGTTTTAATTTGGTAGTTTTTCCATTTTAGTATCTAGTATGAGAAATACCTCATTAGTCTTTAATTTTATTTCATGAATGGATTGCCTAAAGTTGAACTTACCAGGTGTGACTGAGAGGTGACAGCGTGCTAGCAGCCCTTGCAGCCCTCGCTCCCTCTAGGCGCCTCCTCGGCCTTGGCGCCCACTCAGGCCACACTTGAGGAGCCCTTCAGCCTGCCGCTGCACTGTGGGAGCCACTTTCTAGGCTGGCCAAGGCCCGAGCTGGCTCCCTCAGCTTGCGGGGAGGTGTGGAGGGAGAGGCGCCGACGGGAACCCGGGATGCGCGCGGCGCTTGCGAGCCAGTGCGTGTTCCGGGTGGGCGTGGGCTCGGCGGGTCCTGCACTCGCAGCGGCCGGCGGGCCCGCAGGCCCCGGGCAGTGAGGGGCTTAGCATCTGGGCCAGCAGCTGCTGTGCTCGATTTCTCGCCAGGCCTTAGCTGCCTCCCAACGGGGCAGGGCTTGGGACCTGCACCCTGCCATGCCTGAGTGCCCCCCCGCCCGCCACCCCACCCTACCTTGGGCTCCTGCGCAGTCTGAGCCTCCCCGACGAGCGCTGCCCCCTGCTCCATGGCGCCCAGTCCCATCAACCACCCAAGGGCTGAGGAGTGCGGGCGAACGGCACGGAACTGACAGGCAGCTCCACCTGTGGCCCGGTGCGGATCCACTGGGTGAAGCCAGCTGGGCTCCTGAGTCTAGTGGGGACTTGGAGAACCTTTATGTCTAGCTAAGGGATTGTGAATGCACCAATCGGCACTCTGTATCTAGCTCAAGGTTTGTAAATGCACCAACCAGCACTCTGTGTCTAGCTCAGGGTTTGTGAGTGCACCAATCGACACTCTGTATCTAGCTAATCTAGTGGGGACATGGAGAACTTTTGTGTCTAGCTCAGAGATTGTAAATGCACCAATCAGCACCCTGTCAAAATGGACCAATCAGCTCTCTGTAAAACAGACCAATCGGCTCTCTGTAAAATGGACCAATCAGCAGGATGTGGGTGGGGCCAGATAAGAGAATAAAAACAGGCTGCTGGAGCCAGCAGTGGCAATCTGATAGCGTCCACTTCTATGCTGTGGGAGCTTTTTTTTCTTTTGCTCTTTGCAGTAAATCTTGCTACTGCTCACTCTTTGGGTCCACACTGCCTTTATGAGCTGTAACACTCACTGTGAAAGTCTGCAGCTTTGCTCCTGAAGCCAGCCAGACCACAAACCCACCAGGAGGAACGAGCAACTCCAGAGGCAATTCCAGAGGCGCAGTCTTAAGAGCTGTAACACTCACAGCGAAGGTCTGCAGCTTCACTCCTGAGCCAGTGATACCACGAACCCACCAGAAGGAAGAAACTCCAAACACATCCGAACATCAGAAGGAACAAACTCCGGACACGCCGCCTTTAAGAAGTGTAACATTCGCCTCGAAGGTACGCGGCTTCATTCTTGAAGTCAGTGAGACCAAGAACCCACCAATTCTGGACACATGACTATTGATAGTTTATTTTAAATTAAATACAATCTTACTTCCCATCTCAAGCGCACAATAGGCAAAAGTGGCTAGTGGCTGCAATATGAGTAGCATGCATATAAAACATTCCTGTCATTACAGAAATCTATCTTGGCCAGCAGTGCCCCAAAGTGTCACGGCTCTGGGATTTTTAATGCAGTTTTCGAAAACTGCTGGTGAGATAAAAACCATTATTTTACAGTATAAGATCTTGCCATACATATATGTAGATATATCCTTTGATGCAAGTTTTGGTTATATCCCTCAACAATGTTTTACAGGTATATTTATAAGGGTTCTACACAATTCTTGGTAAATTGTTACTATTACTCAGAGAGCAGGTATTGTCTGATTTTGAGAGACAAGAGCATTTGAAAGTTAGAGAAATTCTGGGACTCAGTAGAAACACGTACATGAGTTAGTTACTGTGCTCGGTATTTCTACTGGCATTTTGCTTTCGAATGTATCGCTTGCTGCCAAGATGTGCAAGCCAGAATCGAGTGGTGTTCTCTGGGTCAATCATCCAAGGCTACCCCCTACAAAACCAGCTTTAAGGCCCATCTGGCCTTAGGCAGCCTCTCTCACTCCTGACCTGAGGCAGCTAGGATCTCAGGTGGGCAGGGCTGGACTTCTTCCTTAGTCCACATGTGGGGCATGCTCTGATTTTGCTCTACAACTTGCTCTCATTGCTGAGGAGGTCCCATTGGATGTACCTCCAGGGAGGTTCTTATGCTTCATATTTTAAAGTCTAAATCCTGATTCTGTGCAGACGATTTTTTTTTATTGTTTTTTCAGAAAAGTGGATTTTTTGGAGAATTTTGGTGAGATGCAAGGATTAATATTCTGCCAAGACTGGCCCATTTGCCGAGTGTAATATGAGTTGTTGGTTCTCATCCCTTGGTCTGTGTCAATAACTAAGTCTCCCTGATAACCTTTGCAATACCGCCATTTTACACCACAGTTTGTGGTGGGTAATTTCATACATTTTCTCACTAATTTATTGTTGTACCTGTGCTTTAATATTGTTTGGTTCAGTAGTTGTTTTAAATATAACGATTCCAAATCCAGCGTTTAATTTGAGAGCAATCGCTACCTGATGCAGTGGATTCATGCCAGGGACTAGAAGGGCCCGTGTGCATTGTTCAGTCTCTGGTTTTAAAACTTCCTGACACTTTCAATATTTTCTTCATTCATGTTCTGGACAAATCTGCATTGGCTTATTGCTAAATTGTCTACCTTCTTTCTGTTGTGAAGGGGTATTTTTAAATTCGCATTGCTCACAGAGTGCTCATATTTGCCTTTTTTCTGTTTGATTTGCTGAACGATCTTCTGAGTTCTCAGAGATTTTCACTTGATGTTCTTGAGATTTCAGGAAGACAGTTTTACCCTTTACATGGGATGCATTGCAATTTTTCAATCATATAACCATATCTTCACAAACTTGGACAGGCATAGAGCAAGTCAGAACAAAGTCTTGTTTGGAGCTGGGTCTCTCGGTCGCACTACGCAACCCTTTCTTTAGACTTTGTTGTCGACCTTTGTTGTTGAGATCACAATGTCACGTGGTTGCCACTGGAAGAGTCCTTCCTTTGGGCACCCTATGGTTGCAAGGCAGCAACGTGAATCCAGAGGCATTAGTGACAATATCTCTTGGTTAAAAATAATTGTGATTGAACACTGGGAGTGAAGTTGAGCCCCTAAGGGGTTTATCCCTGGTACTTATGTTCCGGTGGGTAGCTGGGCCCTGAGTAAGAAAATGTACATTTGAGGCTGGGTGCGGTGGCTCATACCTGTAATCCCAGCACTTTGGGAGGCCGAGGCGGGCGGATCACAAGGTCAGGAGACAGAGACTATTCTGGCTAACACGGTGAAACCCCGTCTCTACTAAAAGTACAAAAAATTGGCCAGGCGTGGTGGCGGGCGCCTGTAGTCCCAGCTACCTGGGAGGCTGAGGCCAGGAGAATGGCGTGAACCCGGGAGGCGGAGTTTGCGGTGAGCCGAGATCGCACCACTGCACTCCAGCCTGGGAGACAGAGACTCTGTCTCAAAAAAAAAAAAAAATATATATATATATATATACACACACATACATATATATGTGTGTATATATATACATATACATATGTGTATATATATACACACATATATGTGTGTATATATATACACACATATATGTGTATATATATATACACATATGTATATGTATATATATATTTAAAGCTTTTAATTAGATCTAGAAACAAGGCTATAATCCTCCCTTATCTTTTTGTGCCAGCTCCCTGTTTGTAAAGTGTTTGCATATTTGTTGTCTGACGTTGTCCTCACAATGTAAAGGCACTCACTGCAATATCTGATACAGTAGCAAACATTTGATAGTAGCTTCTGAATATTACTATTATTTCCCAACCCTTCCCCTCCCATTTCTCCCATCTCCGCTTTCTTTCTTCCCTTTTTTTATATTTATTTATTTATTTATTTATTTATTTATTTATTTATTTATTTTTAGGCAGAGTCTTGCTCTGTTGCCCAGGCTGGAGTGCAGTGGCACTATCTCGGCTCACCGCAAGCTCAGCCTCCTGGGTTCACGCCATTCTCCTGCCTCAGCCTCCCAAGTAGCTGGGACTACAGACGCCCACCACCATGCCCGGCTAATTTTTTTGTATTTTTAGTAGAGACGGGGTTTCACCGTGTTAGCCAGGATGGTCTCGGTCTCCTGACCTTGTGATCTGCCCGCCTCGGCCTCCCAACGTGCTGGGATTGCAGGCGTGAGCCACTGCGCCCGGCCCCCACCTCCTCTTTCTAAAGGTTTCTTTTTCTTCTTTCTCTCCTCTCTCCTCTTCTCCTGTCTCTTTCCTTCTCTTCTCTTAATGACAAAAATTTTTTGAGTAGTATTTTTCCTATTTATATATTTTAGTTTGTCATTGCTCATATTAGACAATATAGATGCAAGTTAATATTTCTTATTTTTCTCCCCAACTTTCAGTAATATTAAGAAGCTTGATGGATGCTGTTGAACATTTTGTATTGACAACGCTACCTCTGTGTTAGGTGCATGCCAGTGGAGCCTCCTCTCTTCTCCTGTATCCTCTCCCCTTCTTTTCTTTTCCCCCTCCCTTTCCTTCTTGTCTTCTCCTTTCCCTTTCTTTCTCATTTTCTCCCTCTCCTCTTCCCTTCCCTTTCCTCTCCTCTGCTCCTGCTCCTTCTATTCTCTCTTAGCATCTCTCTCCCCTCTTTGCTTTTGTTCTCCTCCTCTCTCCTCTCCTCTTTTTTGTCTTCTCCTCTCTCACCTCTCCTTCTCTCCAATACTCTCCTCTCCCCTCCCTTCCCTTTCTCTTTTCTCTCTTCTCCCTTCCCATCTTTCTCTACCCTTCCCCTCCCCTCCTCTCACTTTCCCTCTTTTCTTTCCCCGTTTTCTTTCCACTTTTACTTTTCTTTGCTCTTCCCTCTCCTTTTCTTTCTCCTCCTCTTCCCTTCCCCGTTTACTTCCTTCCTTCCTTCATGGTGCGTAAAATAGGCTTAGTGAGTGTTCCAAGTTAACTTGCATTAACATATTTTCTTTCTCATGATTTGAAAATAGGTAGTACTTGTTTATCCTGAATAAAAGATAGGCAAAACTAAATGGAGTAAAAGTTGTCTTTCCCACTTCACTCCATCTATACCCTCAACACTGCATACTCAGTATTGGTGGCCTGACAGCCTCTGCTTCTGCATGATTTTCTACACTCAACGAAATAGATACTAGTGAATATACATTAGATATGCTTGGGTTGTTTATATAGAAATCTTTTTTTATAATTCAAGTTTTTCCTTCATGTGGGATATAATTGTTTATGTAGAGCAGAATAACTTTGATTTTACTTTTTTCTTCCAAATATATAGCTTGCCCATTATCATCTGAAACCACCATTTTTTTTCTTGAACTCTGTAAACTCTGGAGCCCTTAACCACTCTCCACTCAATTTTTTATTGTAGTTTATTATGCCGTTTTACAAGATAAGTCTCCCTTTTTACTCTCAATTTTTGTGATTAAAAAATATTTTCAGTACTTTATACTTTGTCCTTTCCTCATTGCTTGTTATTGTAAGCTTTGTTGAAGATCAGATGGTTGTAGGTGTGTGGCTTTATTTATGAGTTCTCTATCCTGTTCTGTTGTTCTATGTGTCTGTTTTTGTACCAGTATCATCCTGTTTTTGTTACCATAGCCTTGTAGTGTGGTTTGAAGCGGGGTAGTGCGATGCTTCCAACTTTGTTCTTTTGCTTAGGATTGCTTTGGCTATTTGGGGTCTTTTTTTGGTTCCATATGCATTTTTGAATGTTTTCTTCTAATTCTGTGAAAAATGTCATTGGTAGTTTGATAGGAATAGCATTGAATCTATAAATTGCTTTTTATGCAGTATTGACATTTTAGCAATATTGATTGTTCCTATTCATGAGCATGGAATGTATTTTAATTTGCTTGTTTCATCTCTGATTTCTTTCAGCAGTTTTTTGTAATTCTCAGTGTAGAGATCTTTCCCTTTCCTAGTTAGCTGTATTCCTAGGTATTTTGTTCTTTTTGTGACTATTGTGAATTGGATTGCATTCTTGATTTGGCTCTCAGCTTGGACTTTATTAATACATAGAAATTGTACTAATTTTGTATATTGATTTTATATCCTAAAACTTTGCTCAAGTTGTTTAAAAGATCCAGGAGCCTTTGGGCAGAGACTATGGAGGTTTTCTAGGTATACAATCATACCGTTTGGAAACAGAAATAGTTTGACATCTTCTTGCCCTATTTGGATGCCTTTTATGTCCTTCTCTTGCCTGATTGCTCTGGCTAGGATTCCCAGTACTTACATTGAGTAGAAATGTTTAGGGTGGGCATCCTTCTCTTGTTCCAGTTCTTAAGAGGAGTGCTTCCAGCTTTTGCCAGTTCATTATGATGTTGGCTATGTGCTTGTCATAGATGGTTCTTATTATTTTGTGGTGTGTTCATTCGATGCCTAGTTTGTTGAGAGCTTTTAACATGAAGGGATGCTGGATATTATCAAAAGCCTTTTCTGCATCTATTGAGATAATCATGTCATTTTTGTTTTTAGTTATTTTTATGTGATGAGTCAGATTTATTGGTTTGTATATTTAGACCAACCTTTAACGTCTTTTCAAAGATAGGGTATCTGGAGACTTTGGAGAGGATTATTGGTGTGTCTTTAAGGTAATATACTGTGTTGTATTTGTTTGATTTCAGATTTTTCTTGATTATTATTTCTTGTTGTTTTTTGCAAATTATAAATGAATACTTGCTTATCAAGTGTATTATGCAAGACATATCTAGAAAAACATTGCTATCTTATCCCTACCTCTAGTCTTGAATTCTAACTCTCCTGACTTAAACCAGATAAACAACCAGGAACATGTCCACAACTTTTTGCAGGTTGAAACAAATACATTGTTATTCACAGGTGTGCATATGTATTTCTCTTTCTCTCTATAGATATTCATACAAATATTGTATTAGTCCATTTTCACACTACTGATAAAGACATGCCCAAGACTGCAAAGAAAAAAAGGTTTAATGGGCTTACAGTTCCACATGGCTGGTGAAGCCTCACAATCCTGGTGGAAGGCAAGGAGAGGAGCAAGTCACATCTTACGTAGATGGTGGCAGGCAAAGAGAGAGAACTTGTGTGGGGGAACTCCTCCTTATGAAACCATCAGATCTTGTGAGACTTATTCACTATCATGAAAACAGCAGAGGAAAGACTTGCCCCCATGATTCAATTACTTCCCACCAGGTCCCTCCCACAACACATGGGAACTCAAGATGAGATTTGGGAGGGGACACAGCCAAACCATATTATTCTGCCCCGGCCCCTCCCAAATCTCATGTCCTCACATTTCAAAACCAATCATGCCTTCCCAACAGTCCCCCAAAGTGTTAACTCATTTCAACATTAATTCAAAAGTCCACAGTCCAACATCTCATATGAGACAAGGCAAGTCCCTTCTGCCTATGAGCCTGTAAAATCAAAAGCAAGTTAGTTACTTCCTAGATACAATGGGAATACAGGCATTGGGTAAATACAGCTGCTCCAAATGGGATAAATTGGCCAAAACAAAGGGGCTACAGGCCCCATGCAAGTCTGAAATCCAGCGGGGCAGTCAAATCTTAAAGTTCCAAAATGATCTCCTTTGATTCCACATCTCACATCCAGGTCATGCTGATGTAAAAGGTGGATCCCATGGTCTTGGGCAGCTCTGCTCCTGTGGCTTTGCAGGGTACAGCCTTTCTCCCAGCTGCTTTCATGAGCTGGCAATTAGTGTCTGTGGCTTTTCCAGGTGCATAGTGCAAGCTGTCTGTGGATATACCATATTGAGGTTTGGAGGATGGTGGCCCTCTTCTCACAGCTCCACTAGGCAGTGCCCAGTGGGGACTCTGTGTGAGGGCTCTGACCCCACATTTCCCTTCTGCACTGCCCTAGCAGAGGTTCTCCATGAGAGCCCCACCCCTGCAGCAAACTTCTGCATACAGGTGTTTCTGTATATCTTCTGAAATCTAGGCAGTGGTTCTCAAACCTTAATTCTTGACTTCTGTGCACCCGCGGGTTTAATACCACATGGAAGCTACCAAGGCTTGGGGCTTGCACCCTCTGAAGCAACAGCCTGAGCTCTATGTTGGCCCCTTTCGGCCATGACTGGAACAGCTGGGGAGCAGGGCACCAAGTCCCTAGACTGCACACTGCACAGGGACCTTGGGCCTGGCCCACAAAACCATTTTTTCCTCCTAGGCTTCTGGACCTGTGATGGGAGGGGCTGTCATGAAGACCTCTGACATGTCCTGGGAACATTTTCCCCACTGCCCTGGGGATTAACATTTGGCTTTTTGTTACTTATGCAAATTTCTGCAGCCAGCTTGAATTTCTCCTCAGAAAATGGGATTTTCTTTTCTATCACATTGTTAGGCTACAAATTTTCTGAACTTTTATGCTCTGCTTCCCTTTATAAAACTGAATGCCTTTAACAGCACCAAAATCACCTCTTGAATGCTTTGCTGCTTAGAAATTTCTTCTGCCAGATACCCTAAATCATCTCTGTCAACTTCAAATTTCTGCAAATCTCTACAGCAGGGGCAAAATGCCACCAGTCTCTTTGCTTAAACAAACAATAGTCACTTTTGCTTCAGTTCCCAACAAATTCCTCATCTCCACCTGAGACCACCTCAGCCTGGACCTTATTGTTCATATCACTATGAGCATTTTTTTCAGAACCGTTCAACAAGTCTCTAGGAAGTTCCAAACTTTCCCATATTTTCCTGTCTTCTTCTGAGCCCTCCAAACTGTTCCAACCTCTGACTGTTACCCAGTTCCAAAGTTGCTTTTACATTTTTGGGTATCTTTTCAGCAGTGTCCCACTCTACTGGTACCAATTTACTTGATTAGTTCATTTTCATGCTGCTGATAAAGATATACCTCAGACTGTGAAGAAAAAGAGGTTTATTACACTTACAGTTCCACATGGCTGGGGAGGCCTCACAATCATCGTAGAAGACAAGGAGAAGCAAGTCACGTCTTACGTGGATGGTGTCAGGCAAAAAAATGAGAGGGTTTGTGCAGAGGAACACCTCTTTTTAAAACCATCAGATCTCATGAGACTTATTCACTATTATGAGAAAAGAACAGGAAAGACTTGCTCCATGATTCAATTACTTCCCACCAGTTCCCTCCCACAACATGTGGGAATTCAAGATGAGATTTGGGTGGGGACATAGCCAAACCATATCAGATATAGATCTAGATAGTTAAGATTTTATTTAAATAGGATTCTGCAATGTTTTTCTTCCTAACAGTACATGTTGGACATACCTTTTAATCAATAGGTTTAGATGCAATAATATTTTAAAATTCATCTTTTGAACTCATTTTTAAGGAAGTTTGATGTATGGCATAAAATGAGGCTTTACCTTGGATTGATAATTTATAGAAATCTTATGTACCTGACGTCACTGGAGTTAACAGTTCTCCATAAATCAGCTATCATTTAATCCTTGCAGTGATACCACACTATTACTATTTGTTGATAAGATTAACAAATTTTTAAGTGCTTACCATGTACAAAGCACTGTTCTAGCTGTTGCAGACACAAAAGTGAAAAAAAACAGCTTATCCTTCTATTGTAGTAGGAAGAGACAGAAAACGAACAAGTAACCAAGAATGTCAGCATTTTAAAGAAAAAAGCAGTGTTGGTAAGGAATGGGAGGAGGAATCAGTCAAGGCTCTTGTTGGTAATGTGGTATTTTAGAAGGGACTTGGAGGAAGTGAGGGAGCAAGCCTGGTGGCTCTCTGGAGGAACATTGAAGGCTGAGGGAGGATCTCCTGATAATTTCTTGCTTGGAGGAGTGTTCCCAGATTTTCAAGGAAGAGAGGAAATGGGAGAGCAGAAGGAGAAGTTAGCATTGTAGAGGGTGGAGTCAAAAGGGCAGGGGGTGGGACAGATCAGAGAAGGCCTCTTATAGGGCAACGATTTCGCTTGGATTTTATTTTGAATGATATGAGCAGCTATTGAAGCCTTTGAGCAAAGGATTGGTATAGTCTGTCTAATATTTTTAAAGGAAAACTCTGGTAGGTATATGGAAGATGGACTTGAACCTCATCATATTAGAAGAAACTGCCATCTGTGCAAAGCACATTTGAGACAGGGCTTACCTTTCTTTGTTCTTGTCTTTTGGATTTTGGCCAGGCATTTCCTCATTTACAGGAAGGTCTTTAAGACTTTCAAGAGGAGTTGTAAAATGTATGTTGCTTAGCTTACTTAGTTGTCCAAAGCAGTAATGTTGAACTGAATTACCTTTTCTCCATTATCAAAATCAGTAGTTTCCAAATATGTTTTAATATAATGATTGCTGATACTAAGGGAAGCTTTTGGTTTTTGTATATGTCTTATTTGTCTACCCAACTTACTAAAGCAAGTTAACAGTAGTCATCCTTTTTGGTTAATTTTCTTCAGTTCTTTGGGTGTTTGGTAGTAACTATGTGCATGAGGCATTACAAAACTACAGGCAAACTCCACATTCTATTTTCATAGTGAGTCAGAGAGCATGCTAAATGTTGGAAATAGGCCGCACCCATTTTTCTACATTTATCTTTTAGAGACAAGATGTTCACTTCAGTTCAAAGATCTAGGCCTTCTGTCGTCATTGTAGGGTGAGGTTGGTACTGGTTTAGATACTATGGCCTTGGCAGACTCCTCACTTTTATACTCTCGGGAGCAAAGGCCCCAACCTTTTTGGCACCAGGGACCGGTTTTGTGGAAGATAATTTTTCCATGGACTGGGAATAGGGGGATGGTTTCAGGATGAAACTGTTCCAGTTCAGATCATCAAGCATTAGATTCTCTAGCTAGATTCTGATAAGATGTGCAGAATGTAGATCTCCAACACATGCAGTTCACAATAATGTTCACACTCCTATGAGATTTTAATGCTGCCACTGATCTGACAGGAAGTGGTAATGCTGGCTTCCTTGCCTCTCACCTCCGGTTGTGCAGCCTAGTTCCTAACAGGCCACGGACTGGTACCGGTCCATGGCCTGGGGACTGGGGACCCTTCCTCTAGAGACCTTCAGGTCTTAAATTAAGTAAATTATGTGGTTAATCCTAACCCATGACAAAGGAAAGAGGTTTCCAAGTAGGTAGTGCAAAGGTCAGGAATGGATGTATTATGTTGGATAGGGAATCCAAAGATGAGATGTTGTCATTATATCTGTGGTAATTTGTAGCACATATATTGCAGTATTTAACCTTCAAGATAAACCTGTGATGTGGAATCTTGATATTTTCTTGTCTGGAAAGGTAGCTGGTAATGAGGGTTATATGAGATCATAGTGTACTGAGCCCCCTGACTGTCCTCAATGACAACAGTAGCCACATCATGCCAAAGCATGTTCTCAATTTAACTAGTGACATATTTAACAAAACATATTTAACATATTTAATTATTAAATATGCAAACATATTTAACAAAAACTAGTCATCTCTTCCATAAAATCTCCATTCAACCCTTTTTCATTAATCCATGTTATCTGTCTGGGCATAATATTAAAGAATATTCCCAGGCTCAAACACATATACATTAATATGTGTTTGATAACACATATACATTAATATGTGTTTGATAACACATATACATTAATATGTGTTTGATAACACATATACATTAATATGTGTTTGATAACACATATTAATGGTAATGTGATGCCTCTAGATTTGTTCTTTTTGCTCAGTCTTGCTTTGGCTATGCAGGCTCTTTTTTGGTTCCATATGAATGTTAGGATTGTTTTTTTCTAATTCTGTGACTACTCAGCCATAAAAAGGAATTAATTAATGGTATTTGCAGCAACCTGGATGAGACTGGAGAATATTATTCTAAGTGAAGTAACTCAGGAATGGAATACCAAACATTGTATATACTCAGGCACATGTGGGAGCTAAGCTATGGGGATGCAAAGGCATAATGAAAGACAAAATGGACTTTGGGAACTCAGGGGGAAAGGAAGGGAAGCAGGTGAGGGATAAGTCAACAAATTGGGTTCAGTTTATACTGCTTGGGTGATGGGTGCAACAAAATATCACAACCACCAAAGAATTTACTGATGTAACCAAACACCACCTGTTCCCCAATAACCTATGAAAATAAAAAAAATTTAAAAATAAATGAGAAGTAAGGAAATGGAATAACATTCCTCCTGTTGTTTTCTTTCTTTTCTTTTTCCTCTTTCTCTTCTTCCTGTTCTTCACCTTTTTCCTCTTTTCCTTCCCCTTCCTCATCTGACTCCTCCTCTTCTCCTCCTCGTCTTCCTCCCATTCTTCTTTAACTTCTTTCCCCTTTTCTTGGTCTTTTCAACAGTATTACTACTAAGTAATACTAACACCATGATGAGTAGTTTTATCACTCACTTTTAATTAAAACTGGAAGGAAGTTAATTATCACACTGTAATAGGTGGGATATGCTGGGACCTGTAGTGCCAAATGTTTTCTTTCTTAATAGTCTATATTTTGGAAGTTATTCTTGACTCTAATGAAGTACATACACGTGACAATGAAACATAAGTTTTCCAACAAAAGATTCACTTTCAGCGCAGGAGCAACGTTGCTGCCATTTGAACTGTGATAGCCAAATGTGGACAACTGGTCAATGGAGGTTAGCCTCAGCAATTGGGAATGGGCTTTCGAAGTAGATCTAACTCATCCCCTGAAATGGGTTCATAATAGGTTGTGCCATCCACCTCCGGGTTCATTGGACAGATTTGCTGTTTTATTCATCGATGTCTGGAAATAATATAGATTTGTGCATAGTAATTATGTGTATGTATATATATTTATCTTTTTGTTATTTTCATCATGTTTTCTGATGGGTTATATCTTGTGGACAAAAAACATGCTCATTTTTTTTGCAAATTTCCTTTTTGTCCCACCATCTTACCTCTTGTCACTAAAAATTTTTCAGAGCACTCTAGTTATACTATTACACTAATGGAGGTCTGAAATAATATTCAATAGAGCATTGTGCAACCTAAAACATCTGGTAAGTGTTTTAAGTCATTAGCAATATTCAACTCTTTTCTCATAAGAGTTCTTAGTATTCAGAGAACCGAGCCCTAAAACCATGAATGAGAATGACTTTACCTCCTTCTTCTCCAGCTTTTTACAATGTTGTCTTCCTGACACATTAAAGCCAGAGAGTTTTTGGCATCAAAAAATCAAACACAATAATTCCTAGTAAGACTTCCTATAAGATATGAGTGCTCAATAGGAAAGAAAGTTAACAAATAGCAATCTATCCTTTTTGTTTCAATAGTTTTGGGGGAACAGGCGGTATTTGGTTGCATGGAAAAGTTCTTTAGTGACGATTTCTGAGATTTTGGTGCATCTGTCAACTGAGCAGTGTACACTGTACCCAATGTGTAGTCTTTTATCCTTTACCCCCCTCCCACCCTTCCCTTGTAGTATAGTTTGAAGTCAGATAATGTGATGCCTCCAGATTTGTTCTTTTTGCTTAATCTTGCATTGACTATAGGGGCTCTTTGGGGGTGCCATAGGAATTTTAGGATTGCTTTTTCTAGTTCTATGAAGAATGATGATGGTATTTTGATGGAAATTGCATCGCATCTATAGATTACTTTTGGCACTATGGTCATTTTCACAATATTGATTCTCCGCATCCATGAGCATGAGATGTGTTTCCATTTGTCTGTGATTTCTTTTAACAATGTTTTGTAGTTTCCCTGTAGAGCTCTTTCACCTCCTTGCATAGGTATATTCCTAAGTATTTTATTTTTTGCAACTGGTGAAAATGGGTTGACTTCTTAATTTGATTCTCGGCTTGGTCACTGTTGGTGTATAGCAGTGCTACTGATTTGTGTACATTCATATTGTATCATGAAACCTTACTGAATTCATTTATCGGATTTAGGAGCTTTTGGGATGAGTCTTTAGGGTTTTGTAGGTGTACAATCATATCACTGGCAAACAGTAAGAGTTTGACTTCCATTTTTCCAGTTTGGACGCCCTTTATTTTTTTCTCTTGTCTAATTGATCTGGATAGGACTTCCAGTACTAGGTTGAATATAAGTGTTGAAAGTGGACATTTGTGTCTTGTTTCAGTTCTCAGGGGATTGCTTTCAACTTTTCTCCCCTTCAGTATAACGTTGGCTGTGGGTTTGTCATAGACCGCTTTTATTACCTTGAAGTGTGTCCCTTCTAGGCCAGTTTTTGTGAGGGTTTTAATCACAAAGTGCTGCTGGATTTTTTAAATGATTTTTCTAATCTATTGCGATGATCATATAATTTTTGTTTTTAATTCTTTTTTTGAGATGTATCACATTTAATGACTTGTATATGTTAAATAATCGCTGGTATGAAACGCAGTTGATCTTTTTGATATGCTGCAGAATTCAGTTAGCTTGTATTTTGTTGAGGAGTTTTTCATTTATCTTCATCAAAGATATTGGTCTATAGTTTTGTTTTATTGTTAGGTCCTTTCCTGGTTTAGTATTAGGGTGATACTGGCTTCATAGGATGATTTAGGGAGGATTCCTTCTTTTTCTATCTTTTGGAATAGTTTCAGTAAGATTGGTACCAGTTCTTCTTGGAATGCCTGATAGAATTAAGCTGTGAAACCATCTGGTCCCAGAATTATTTGTTGACAGTGTTTAATTACTGTTTTAATCTTGCTACATGTTATTAGCCCGTTTGGAGTTTCTGTTTCTTCCTGATTTAATCTAGAAAGGTTGTATATTCCCAGGAATGTATCCATCTCCTCTAGATTTTCTAGTTTGTTTGTATACAGATATTCATGGTGCCGGTAAATGAACTTTCGTACTTCTGTGGTAACAGTTGTAATACCTCTCGTTTCATTTCTAATTGAACTTACTTGGATCTCTCTTTGCTTTGTTAATCTCACTCATGCTCTATCAATTTTGTTTCTCATTTCAAAGAAACAGCTTTTTCATTTATCTTTTGTATTTTTTTGTTTCAACTTCATCTAGTTCTGCTCCGATTTTTATTATTTCTTTTCCTCTACTGGGCTTGAGTTTGGTTTGTTCTTGTTTCTCTAGTTACTTGAGGTGTAAACTTAGATTGTCTGTGCTCTTTCAGACTTTTTGATGTAGGCATTTAATGCTATGAACTTTGCTCTTAGCACTGCTTTTGCTGTATCATAGAGGTTTTGATAAATTCTGTCACTGTTATTCAGTTAAAATAATTTTTAAAATTTATATTGATTTCAATGTTGACCCAAGTATCATTCAAGAGCCGATTATTTAATTTCCATGTATTTGTATGGTTTTGAGTGTCGCTTTAGGAGTTAATTTTCAATTTTATTCCACTGCGGCCTGAGAGGGTACCTGATATAATTTTGATTTTCTTAAACTTATTGAGACTGTTTTTTTGTGGCTTATCATATGATCTATCTTGGAGAGTGTTCCATGGGCTGATGAAAAGAATGTATATTCAGCAGTTATTGGGTAGAATGCTCTGTGAATATCTGTTAAATTCATTTGTTTTAGGTATAGTGTGTGTCCATTGTTTCTTTGTTGACTTCCTGTCTTCATGATCTGTCTAGGGCTCTCAGTGGAGTATTGAAGTCCCGCAATATTATTGTGTTGCCATCTATCTCGTGTCTTAGGTCTAGTAATAATTGTTTTATGAATTTGAGAGCTCCAGTGTTAGCAGCATATATATTTAGGATTGTGATCATTTCCTTTTGGACTGACACTTTTGTCATTATATAACTTCCCTCTTTGTCTTTTTTAACTCTTGTTGCTTTAAAGTCTGTTTTGTCTGACATAAGAATAGCTACTCCTGCTCACTTTTGGTTTTTGTTTGCATGGAATATTTTTTCTACCTTTTTACCTTAAATTTATGTGAGTCCTTATGTGTTATGTGAGTCTCTTGAAGACAGCAGATACTTGGTGGATTTTTATCCATTTCACTATTCTGTATTTTTAAGTGAAGCATTTGGACCATTGACATTTAATGTTCATGTTGACATGTGAGGTCCTGTTGTATTCATTGTGCTAGTTGTTGCAGCTTTTACCCAAATTTTGATCTATTCTGTTAGCCTCACCAATGCTACCCAGCCTGCTTTCCAAGAGCTATATGAGAGTCTTAGGCCACAATCCAACCCCAATTGTGAACCCTTTACATTACAGTTTGGGACACTCTTGAAGGAGGTGATGTACCCAGAGGAATTAACTCTAGTGAATAAGCTAGATTAGGAAGGTTTCTGGGGTCCTGGTTTGGACTAGGTTCTGCTTGGAGTGAATATATGGTCAAAAATTTTTCTTGCACTGTTAACAAAATTGCTCATTCCACTGCCCAAGCCACTAGGGCACAACAGAAGTCCCTAGACTCCCTTGCTTTCATGGTCCTAGATGACCACATTGCTTTAGATTATCGCCTCACTGCACAGGGTGGTGTTTGTGCTGTTGCTAACACTTGCGGCTGTGCCTGAAGAAATATTCCAGCCAGGGTGAATTGGGAACATTTAAGGTATCAAATTAATCAAATCTCTGAAAGGGACACCTTCAGGAAGCCTCCTGGCTGGCCTTACTGGGTTAACTTTCCAATATCCATGTATTTTTAGCTGGCTTCCCCCAGGTATAGAATTTTTCTGCATTCTACCCTAAAAGTATTTATCTTCCTCATATTTGGAAGCAGTTGCCTCCTCTGTAAAATTGTTTTATCCTCTTTTAACAGATGTCTGTAAGAGACCCCTACCAGGATAGTGTTGGCCTGATTCTTGAGACTTTAAACTCACTCTAGCAGGAAACCAAAAGCAACTTAACCCAAGAGACTTTTGTTCAAATTTAAGAGGTACCTGAGTGCCTCATAAGTAAATCATCATTTATTTGAAGTAAATGGCTCTAGTGCAGTTGGCTAGTGCCCTGCCACTGGGATCCATGTGTGGGACTAGATGGACCCAGAGCAGTTTGCTGGTGCTGTGATGAAAGGAAGTGCTGTGTGCTGCCATGTTTGAGCTAATTCTTCAAGATGGATCCTGAGTGGGTCACTAGGCCTAAATTTCAAATAAAGCAAAGTGGCCATTTGCTAACTAGGAGTCACAGAGGCACTCTGAGTTCCCTGAAAACCTACACTATTTAACATTGGGACTTTCAGGACTCCCCTAAACCAACCAATTAAAGGTCACTCACGTCCACCAATCCAGGGTCTGGTGTATCAACCAATCAGAACTGAGTTTTAAGTTTCAGTACTTCATTTGCATAAACAGGCTTGATTGGGAACCTGGGCAGGTTCTTCTTACTTAAATGTTACCATCCTAGCTTTTTTTTTTTTTTTTTGAGTTTTACCCTCATCTCCCAGGCTGGAGTGCAATGGGGGGATCTCGGCTCACTGCAGCCCCCACCTCCCAGATTCAAGGGATTCTCCTGCCTCTGCCTCCCAAGTAGCTGGGATTAATGGCACCGGCAACTACACCCAGCTAATTTTTGTGTGTTTAGTAGAGATGGGGTTTCCCCATATTGGTCGTGAACTCCTGTGCTCAGATGATGCATCTTCCTTGGATGCCCAAAATGCTAGGATTACAGCTGTGAGCTACCATGCCTGGCCCCTAGTCATTTAAAATTATGAAAAATACTTATCCAGGCAAACCTATGTTATGTCTACTAAAGGAAACTAAATAGTTTTGTGTCTATATCTGTGAAAACTTTATTTGTCCTAGCAATTTTTGATTTATTTTTGTTTGGAATACATTCTTTTTTTGATGTATGATTGTGGCTGGAAAACAGGAAAGATAATTTTGTCATTTTTTGTCTTTAATTCTTGCCCCATTTCCAACCAGTTCTCATCATTTTTTCAGATGATTCCAGAAAGATAACCACCTCCCTTTGTATACTCAATTAAATATTCAATAAATTAATATCCTGCATAAACAGAGTTGTTAAGTCACCAAGAGTTACTTCTAATTGTACAACTGGCCTATCACATCATGAATTTGTATGAACTGTCAGCTCAACATAAGTTTCACAGCCATTTGCTTCATTTAACGTGTCATATCAGACACCAACTTGGTTTTCTTGGAAAGTTTGAATTTGTAAACGGCAATTACCTAGTGTTGATTATTATTATAGAACTGTTAAGAATACCATTTAGGAACTCCTGTGGTAGATTCTCCACATTTTTCCTTCATATATCTTTTTATTAATATCTTTGAACTTCATTAGGCAATAAGCAGTAGAAGAATTTTATCAAAATTCTTTAAAAAAATAGAGTTAGATATGGACAGGCAATGAATTTGAGAGAAATGAACAATATAGGGCTTGCTCATTATTATTGTGAATAAAGCCTGAATTACATAATCCCTTCAATTTTTTGTGTGTGTGCTTTTCAGGGACATTATCTTATGTATGCATGGATATCTGTGAATATATGTATACATATGTATATTTTTAGAGAAATTTAGCTTTTCAACGAGTCTTCACTCAATTATCGCTGGTTGTTTGGAGAAGGTTGTCATTCTTTTTAATCTGTCTTTTTTTCTTCCCAGTATAAACTTATCTTGTAGTTGTCACATTTTACGTATTTCTGGGTTGAGAATCATTGTCTATATTTGTAGAATTGCATTCGGTATAGATAGCCTCATTCAGTATCATAATCAGTGATTTGCAAATTTTGGGAAGTCGGAATTCTTACAATGGATTGGTAGAGCTTTACTACCAGCCCCTTCAAGATTTTCATCCTCCAACTGCAGAACCAGGAAATTATCACTAATACAAATGGGAAAGAAAATATACATGCTGATAGTTACACAGGTTGTGAATAGTAAATTAGTATGTCATTTATTTTAGGTATTCAATGTTGCATAGTCATATTATAATTACGTAGCTTCTTTGTTTTTTTCTAGGTTCCCAAAGAGTCTACAAATGTTGTCTCCTTAATCCTTGCAACGAACCTGAGCCACTGATTCAGTAAAATACTCAGTGGCACATGTTTGTTGTGAGGGTCAAAAGAGATAATCTCTACAGGCCTCATGGACACTGCAAACCATGTAAGTCATCAGTTATGTAGCTACTGCTGCTTCTCCTTCACCTCCTTGTAGTGACACTGGTAGTAGAGTAATCATAGCGGTAGAGACTGTATTACTAGTACTTTGGTAAAAATGACAGCATGTTCAATAAACACCTTTTATTAGGTCAGAGATCAGAGGACAGGTAGCAGCAAGATGAATTTCTTCTTATTTTCTGTTTTTCTGAGGTTAATGTGGATGGTTTCTGTGAGGTTAACGCTGCGTAGCAGTCTTAATGTTGTTCTATGATCACATGATTAGCTGTGATTACTGTGATTATCTCTGCATTTCTGGTTTTTTCCATTTGCAAATGTATGTTCTACACATGTCCTCAATTGCTATGACAAATCAAAACTGTTCTGTGATTATATGGTTATCTGTGATTACTGTGATTATCTCTGCATTTCTGTGTGTCTTTTTCCATTTGCAAATGTACGTTATATACATGTCCTCAATCACTGACAAATCAAAACTTTCGGATATCGTTTCTTTGGGAACAATTTGTTGTAGTTATGGAATGTGGAAATGCATATGAAAATCTGAAGTACATATCTGCCAGGCATGTAGTCATTAAGCAAATTGTCCTGTTAGTACTACTGCAAGCAGTACTAGTACTATAACTAATGGTATCAGTCCTAGTAACACTGCTATTATATTAGTACTAAGAAGGGTATCATCAGTTATCACTCATAGGATTTCATTGGTGGTTTTTCATATACATATTGTAATGTATTCTGCTTTATGATTCAATTTACATATTTTTCTAGAATACCCTGTGGATATCTATGCCCATAGAGATAATTTATTTGCAGTGCAAGCGTTGACGCCACTGCAAACACAGGTAAGGGGAAGTTAATGGTTGAAGATGACAGACTTGATTTTATTCATCCATGATTGCAAATTATAAAATATTATGTCCTTACCTGATCATTTACTTTAATTTGGCATAATTGTTGCATATAAATGGTGAATGGGACATCCTCACCTGGTTCCTGATCTTAGGAGTCAAACATAAAAATGTTAACAATTAAGTCTTCCGTTAGCTGTGCGTTTTCATAGAAGCCCTTCAACCAATTGAGGATATACTCGATTCTATGCCTGATTTGCTGTTATTATTTTTAGATATGGATGTTAGATTTAGTCACATATTTCTCCGCATCAATTGAAATGATCTCTTTTTTTCCATTTTAATCTGTTAATATTGAAAATTGCCAGGCTTTGCCTGGGTTCCCATTCTTTGCACTGGAGTCAATATTCTCTCTCTGAGAAGTTGGCAGGAGAATGGACGGACTGTTCTAATGTGTCCCCTCTCTCACAGATCACTCTACAGTGTCTGAAAGACATGTTTTTCTGTATATATCTGGTTTTTCTTTGTTTTAGACAGCAGATTAATTTGGTCACTATTCCTTCATCTGATCTGGAAACAGTAATCTCCGATTACCAAATGGTAAGAGCCTGGAAATCCTTAGACATGTAGAGGCCTATGTACAAAAAGCTCATAATTTTTACATATTACCTATTCATTACCATCTTACCTCTGATATCGTTCATTATTTTTGAGACCATTCTAGTGAGATGTTTACACCTATAGGATTTTTAAATAGTTTTCAGTAAAGCATTGCTCCACCTAATTCATCTGGTAAGGGCTTTAAGTTGTTAGCCATCCTGAAGTCTCCTCTTGGAAATGTTTGTATGTTTCGGAGATCTGAGTATACAGTTGGGCACTTCTACAGATTCGTCTTTCTTTTTGCTAAGATTCTTGTTTTTCCGTTATTTATTGATAGTTAATACTGATGGTTTGTGAAGTAAGTACTTTGTGTAGTGTCTCTTTGTTCTCTCCCACCCTTACAAATCTAATGGTTTTAATGTTTTAATGACTCTAGATAGACAGTGATATCTCCATTTTTAATGCATTGCTGTATTAAAGAAATTCTCATTCCACATCATCACAGTCAGTAAGTTCCAAGCAAGTCACTTAGGAGAACTCTGCCTTCCCATCATAAATCTGAAAGTACCTGCTGCCAGCTGTTTCTGGATTGCTGTCTCATTCATCAGAATTATAAAGATTTTGGGACAATTTGTTGTAAAGAAAGATAGTTGATAGTGATGGTGAATTATAGGTAATAGAATTCCTGACAAACTTATCTCATAGATGGTTAAGTAGGTTGTAAATAGGAAATTTCATGGGTCATTTTTCTTCTTTAAATATGCCCTTTATGTTACATGAAACATAATATCTGCTGCATTGTTATATCTGAGGATCCAAGTGAATTTTCACACGTGTTCTCACGAATCTTCATGACAAATCCATGTCAATGAGTGTGTAGTGGATTCATCATCATGTGTTTGTTGTGAGAACGTATGAGAAGATTCACAGAAAATTCCTAAGTACATTGATGTGGTGTAAGTGGGCATTTCAGAAATGTAAGTTCTTGTTTTAGCTCTTGTCCTTTTACTTCTATTTACTTTTTTTAATGAAATTCTATTTTTACGGAATAAGGCAATGAAATATAATGAGATATATAGTAGTCTCTGACTCCATGCCAACTGGTGTGTTTAGTGCTTCTCATTGCATGGTAAACAGCCTATCATCATCTTTGTGAGTTAAATCCCCTAGGGCCAGTGGAAGAAATAAATACTGGCAGAACTGGGTCAAAATAGGAATCGTTTTCCAGATGTTTGCCTTCAAAGCTTTTCTAGACCTTTAACAGTCCGATAAAATGGACATATTTCTTCTCTGCTCTGTATCTACAATTATATTTGCTTTGATGAAGAAAGGATATGAAACTTTGCTACATTTGTGTCAAGCTTAGTAGCGGGATAATAGGTGAATGATCGCCTGGATATTGATAATTTCAGGTGGGAGTGAGAGTAAGGTTCCAGTTATGGCCAGGAGAACTGGATTGGGGTCAGGCATTTAGCAAATGTCATCTGTGCAAACCACTTATGAGACAGAGCTTACGTTTCTTGGTTCTTGTCTCCTAGATTTTGGCCAGGCATTTCCTCACTTACAGGAAGGTGTTTGAGACTTTCAAGAGGAGCTGTAAAATATATTTTGTTTAGCTTGCTTAGTTGTCCGAAGCAGTAATGTTGGAATGAATTGCCTTTCCCCATTATCAAAATCAGTAGTTTCCAAATATGTTTTAATATAATGATTGCTGGTACTAAGGGAAGCTTTTGGTTTTTGTATATGTCTTGTCTAACCAACTTACTAAAGCTAGTTAACAGTAATCATTTCGGATTAATTTTCTTCAGTTCTTTGGGTGTTTGATATTAACTACGTGCATGAGGCATTGCAAAACTAAAAGCAAACTCCACATTCCGTTTTGATAGTGAATCAGAGAGCATGCTAAATGTTGGAAATAGGCCTCACCCATTTGTCTACATTTGCCTTTTAGAGACAAGATGTTTACTTCAGGCAGGGCGTGGTGGCTTACGCCTGTAATCTCAAAACTTTGGGAGGCTGAGGGGGGCGAATCACCTGAGGTCAGGAGTTAAAGACCAGCCTGGCCTACATGGTGAAACGCTGTCTCTACTAAAAATACAAAAATTAGCTGGACATGGTGGCAGGAGCCTGTAATCCCAGCTACTCAGCAGCTGAGGAAGAAGAATTGCTTGAACCTGGGAAGCGGAGGTTGCAGTGAGCCGAGATCCTGCCATTGCACTCCAGCCTGGGCAATGTAAGTGAAACTCTGTCTCAAAAAAAAAAAAAAAAGAAAAAACAAAACAAAAGACTAGGAAGGTATCATTTAAGAAAGAAGAATGAAATAAATTAATACATTTGAATATTGAATATATTTTCCTGAATAGTTGTTGCTTGAATACCTTTTCTTTCATTGTGTTAATGTTTTATAGTCCCTTAGAAATTTATGCTATAAGGAGATTCTATTTTGGTGTATTTCAAGGTTTTGTTAGAAGATCTAGAACTCCTTTTAGCATTTCTTGTAGTGCTGGCTTGGTAGTGGTGTATTCTCTTCAGCATTTGTCTGAAAAATTTTATCTCTCCTTCATTTATGAAGCTTAATTTTGTGGGATACAAAATCCTTGGCTGATAATTATTTTGTTTGAAAAGGCTAAAGATAGGATATCAATCTCTTCTGGCTTGTAAGGTTTCTGCTGAGAAATCTGCTGTTAATCTGATAGGTTTTCCTACTATATAGGTTACCTGATGCTTTTGCCTCGCAGCTCTTAAGATTCTTTTGTCTTTAGATAATCTGTTGAGTATAGGCCTAGGTGATGATCACTTTGCAAAGAATTTCCCAGGTTTTGTTTTTTGTTTGTTTGTTTTAGAGTTTCTTGTATTTGGATGTTTAGCTCTCTGGGAAAAGCCAGGGAAGTTTTTCTCAATTATTCCCTCGAATTTTCCAAACTTAGATTTCTCTTCTTCCTCAGGAATACCAATTATTCTTAGGTTTGGCCATTTAACGTAATCCCAAATTTCTCAGAGGCCTTTTAAATTCATTTTTAATTTTTTTTTCTTTATCTATGTCTGATTTGATGAGTTTGAAATCCTTGTCTTCAAGCTCTGAAGTCCTTTCTTCTACTTGCTGTAGTGTCTTGTTGACACTTTCCGGTGCATTTTGTATTCCTCTGTGTCTTTCATTTCTAGAGGTTGTGATAGTTTTTTTCTTTATGATATTTATTTCTCCGAAGATTTTTTCATTCATATCCTATATAATTTAATTTTTTTAAGTTGGTTTTTGCCTTTCTCTGGTATCTTCTTGAGTAGCTTAATAGTCAACCTTCTGAATTCTTTATCTGGCAATTTAGAGATTTCTTCTTGGTTTGGTTCTATTGCTGTGGTGCTAGTGTGGTATTTCGGGGTTGTTATAGAACCTTGTTTTGTCATATTTCCAGAATTACTTTTCTGACTCCTTCTCATTTAGGTGGACTATTTCAGTGGAAAGATTTGGAACTCAAGGACTGCTGTTCAGATTCATTTTTTCCATGGGGTGATCCCTTGATGGGGATCTCCCCGTTCCCCTAGGCATGCAGCTTCCTGGGAGCCAGAATGCAGTGATTGTTGTTGTTGTTCTGGGTCTAGCCTCCCCGCGGGGTTACCAGTCTCCAGGCTGGTGCTGGGGAGTGTCTGCAAAGAGTCCCACGATGTGATCTCTCTTTAGGTCTGCCAGCCATGAATACCAAAACCTGCTTTGGTGGAGGTGGCAGGGGAGTGAAGTAGACTCTTTGAGAGTCCTTGGTTGTAGATATGTTTAGTGTGCTGACTTTCTTGAATGCTGGTTATGCTAGCAGTGAAGTTGTCACATAGACAGACTCAGGGCCTGTGGTTAGCCAGATGTTGCAAGCCGTGGAATTAGTTGTTGTTTTCTTGTTTCTTGGAGTATGGTTATTTTGTTATGAATTGCTGTAATGTTCTGAGTTGGTTGGTCTCCAGCCAGGAGGTGGTGCTATCAAGAGAGTACCAGTTGCAATAGTAAAAGGGGGATATAAGCTTGCCCTACATTGGCCAGGATAAGTATTTGGGTTTCTCAGGCAATGGGCAGGGCCACAAAGCTTCCAAGAGTTTGTGTCTTTTGCGATTGGCTAGCAAGGTGAGTAGAGAAGTACTATCAGGTGTGGGTCAGTGGTTGTGGCCACCGTGGGGGAGCAGGAGGTAGTTCTCTGGCCAATGGGATTATTTTCCATCAGGGATTATGGCTGCCTCTGTTTTTAAGAAAGTAGGAGAATGCTGGTAGTGATAGAACTCATCCTGCTCCCACGCAGTTGGCAAGGCCAATCTTGCTCCCACTGTTCCCCACTAACAGTGTTCAGTTTATCTCCAGGCAGCCTTCATGCAGGACTCAGACCTTGCTCCAGGCTATGAGCTTCCTGGCTGAAAACTCAAACATGGCTGGGTGTGGTGGCTCACACCTGTAATCCCAGTAGTTTGGGAGGCCTAGGCAGGTGGATCACATGAGGTCAAGAGTTCAAGACCATCCTGGCCAACATGGTGAAACCCTGTCTCTATTAAAAATACAAAAATTAGCTGGGTGTGGTGGCACACACCTGTAATTCCAGCTACTTGGGAGGTTGAGGCAAGAGAATTGCTTGAACCTGGGAGGTGGAGGTTGCAGTGAGTGGAGACTGTGCCACTGCACTCCAGCTTGGGCAACAGAGTGAGACTCCATCTTAAAAAAAAAAAAAAAAAAAAAAAGGCCGGGTGTGGTGGCTCATGCCTGCTTGTAATCCCAGCACTTTGGGAGGCCGAGGCGGGCAGATCACGAGGTCAGAAGTCCAAGACCAGCCTGACCAACATGGTAAAACCCCGTCTCTACTGAAAATACAAAAAAAAAATTAGCTGGGTGTGGTGGCGCACACCTGTAATCCCAGCTATTCAGGAGACTGATGCAGGAGAATTGCTTCAACCCAGGAGGTGGAGGTTGCAGCGAGCTGAGATCGTGCCACTGCACTCCAGCTGGGCAACAGAGAGAGACTCTGTCTCAGGAAAAAAAAAAAAAAAGAAAGAAAGAAAAAAGAAAAAAAAAGAAAGCAAACATGACTTTGAGGCTTCGTTCCTTAATTTTGGAGTTGGCATTTGCTCCTGAGCTCCCTTCTTCAGCAGTTCCACTTGCCCCCCAGATTCTGCTCAAGAGAGTTTATACCAGTTGAAATTATTACAAAGTTCACGTAGAAGCTTGTTTCATCCTGTGAATCCTACCTAATATCGCTGTCTGCCTCCCTCAAGGGCCCCTGTGAGATATAATCATGAATGTCTTCCTTGGGCTGGAGCTGGAGAATGACAGTCCCTACAGGGCTTTTCCCACTGCTGCTTCTGCTTTTATATTTCATGCTAAATCCATTTCAGCTCTAGGTAGGGTTAAATCCCTCTCCCATAAACTGAATTTTCAGGTTCACCAGTGGGGACGTGTGTTCAGAGGCAGGTTTTCCCTCTCTGACTTTTGGAGAACTCACAGGTTTTCCCCTGTCTTGCAGAATTTGCAGGGGTGCTCTACTTCTTTCAGAGGATCTGTAAATTCTTTTGGTTTTTCTGGTATGTTCCTGCAGTAGTTCTTGGAGCAAAAGTCCATGGTGTGAGTCTCCACACACTGTTCTGTCTGTCCAAGTGGGAGATGCCCATTAGCTCTGTCTCCTATCTGCCATCTTCTGGACCTTATATTTTTATTTATTTTAAAAATTGTTTTTTTAAGTTTTATTTTTAATTGGCTAACAATACTTATAAACATTTATGGGGTACAATGTGAGGTTTCAATACATGTATGAATTGTGAAATTGATCCTTCATTTTTGAAGCATGAAATTTTTGTTTGGATATTATGATAGCTTTTGTATTTTTATGGATTTTAATTGTCCAAATGTACTTTCTGAATGTTTTTCAGTTAAGTCTTACCTGAACTTGGAGTTATTAAGTGCTTTTTTGGCACACATTTATTTTCAGTGTATAATGTGGAAATCCACATGAAAGCCTGAACTGCCTTGTCTGCCGGGTACAAAACCATTAAGTAAACTTTCTATTTGGTTATTACCATTACTATTTCTACCATAAACTACTACTATCAGTCCTGTTAACATTAGCACCATTTTTATTAGTAATAATGTTAGAAATACCAAAATTGTTAGAAATAGATAATCGCTGCTGTGAAGAAAAGTCAGCACAGAGACAAAAGATCTCTCAGCAAGGCCATCTTTACTTTCTGCAGAAAGGGTGCTCAATCGCAGATGGTACAATGGTGAGAGCACACTTGCAAAGGAAAAGCGGACATATTTATCCCTTACACATTTGGGTTGTCCTTACTGCTGTGTCCTGCATCCATTGGCTGGAGTGGGACCTCACAATCTTAAACCAATACCCGATTTGCTAATAACCTGAAACTTTCCTAAATAGGTAAGTGCAAGGAAGAACAAAGAAGTTGCTTACAAAAGGTTTAAGGAAGCAATAACATTTCCAAATTAGGAAGGGGCATAGACTGTGAGCTGGAACGTGCCTGTGAGCATGTCCAACAGTTACATAGGATAGGGCTTAACAAAGAGTTATTAGCACAAAGCAAGAAGGCTTGAAGACAGTTAGTCTTTAAAAGAAACTATTATTTCTAACACTTATAATTTATTCTTTAACAAGAAGGAAAACATTGAAGAGAAAACTTTTTACTTTCTACAAATAAATAAGATAATAAATAAATGTTCATTTATTACCCTAAGGGTATGTGGAGTTATTTTTCATACGCATTTGAAGTCTATTCTACTTAATATCAATAACTTCACTTATTTTCTAGAAGACTTTGGATATTCATGCTGATAGGGATATTTTTTTCCAAGTGCAAACATTGAGGTCACTGTAAACACATGTGTGGGGAAGATAATGGCTGTAAATGATGAAGTTTTTTGATTTCTCCATCAAAGATTCCAAATTATAAAACAGAACTTGTCATCTTATTCTATTGCTTTGAATTCAGCCTCATTATTGCATAGAAACAGTGAGTGCAGGCATTTTTGTCTTGTTCCTGATCTCAGGAATAAAGCATCAAATCTTACACAATTAAGGAGGATGTTTGTTGTAGAAGCCCAGCTATTCCTCATTTGCTGATATTTTTCAGGTAAAGATGTTAGTCAATTACTATATTTCAATGCATTTGTTGAGATGATCATCAATTTCTCATTTCAGTCTGGTAATGCAGAAAATTGACAGGCTTTGCCTAGATTCCCTCTTCCTGCACTAGAGCCTACATTCTCTGTGCAGTCAGCGAGGACAACTGAGTGGTTCTCCTCATTTGTTTCCTCTCTCTCATGGACACTGTCATGCATTTCCTGATGTAAAATGCTTGAAAACCCTTTCCCTTATACTTTTCATCCAGTTTCCAATTTTCTGGTGGGAATTTGGTCCCAGTTCTGCCATCTAGTTTGGAAGGGATATTTCCCATTATCCAATTTTATGCAGGGAAATCCTGAGACACATAGAAGTTAAAGGATTCTCTAGTGTCTCAGGGCAAGTACATTTTTAAAAATAAAATATATTACTCTATTGGTTATTAACAAAATTAGTAGCGACTCATATAACTTTTTAAATAAGGCAATGATTTATAATGAGATACTTAATAATCTCTCAGCACATGTCAGGTCGTGTCTTTCTGGGTGTGTTTAAAATATAAACACATTCAGAATATACAGTGATATGCCTAGAAACACACATAGGCCTCTCTTCAGGTTTTCAAATTGTAGTTTGGTACTTTATTTTCAGATGAAAATTGGAACCTACTATTACCATTACTATACCACTTGCTTTTATTCTCCAGAATACTCCATGGATGTCCATACTGAGAGATGTGTTTGTGTGTGTGTGTGTGTGTGTGTGTGTTTGTGTGTGTGTCTTTATAAATGTCCATATATCCATATGTCCATCCAATCAAGCACAGGAATGCATTGAAGGCTTCTTAATTGTGAGCAATAATCTTTCCACATTTTTACAGGGATATTGCAATGTCTAATATAGATATTTCTCCTCCTTCTTTTCCTTTGAATTTGTCATGACTCTCTTTAAAATTTCGCTTTCTATTACTGATTGCATTGTAAGATTAACATATATCTATTAGTTACCTTTGCTAGAAGAAGGTTAGTCTCTGGAGTTTAGCACTCCATGTAGGTATTAATTCCAGGTGGTGAGGTAGTAAAACAATCATTTGTAGGTAATGGAGGCACTTTGGTTCCAGTTGATGAAGTCGGGTTTTGTCAGTTACCTGCACCCAGTGGAAAACTAGAGAAATGTAATCTCTAATATGGACATCATCACAGTCAGGAACAAGGGGAAGCTTCTGTTCTGAAAAGGATTCCACCATACAATGAGTTTGGGAGGAATTTGCTTGCCAGTTCCTGGATTGTTCTACTATGTATCTGAAATAGCAAAACTACTGGGGCCATTTAGTTTAAAGAAATATAATTGAATAGCTATGGTGAATTATAATTACTAGAATTACTGAAAATCTTACATCTGGTAGATCACTGCGTAGATTGTAAAGGGTCAATTAATGTGTCCTAAGTAATTTTTCTTAGGTATGTCTCATTATGTTGTGGTAATATGATGTATTTAGTTGTTGCTTTTCAGACTCTGAAAGAATCTCCTGTGTTTCCCCTCAAAACAAATCTGTCAGTAAGTTAGCAAAAGGTTCAGTGGCAGGGGTTTGCCATGAGGGCCAGATGAGAACATATAGATAAAAGCCTCAAGTACATTGCCGACTGTGTAAGTAAGGAACAAAGAAATGCAGCTTCTCCTTCCTGTTCTTTCCTATTACTTTTTTCATTTTATTCTTCCTCTTCCTGCTTTTCATCTTTCTTTACTTCCCCTTACCCGTCCTCCTGTATTTTCTCTAATTTCTCTTCTTCTCCTCCTCAATCTTGCACTATTATTTTTCTTTTCATTCTTTAGTATTATGACTAATATAAGTGCTACTACTACCACTTTGAGTAAGTTTATGACTCCTTTTCATTGCACATGTGGGAGCAAGTGAATTATCACTTGGTGTTACTATCTTGGGATATCCTGGGACATGCAAGAATAAATGGCTTCCTGCTTATTAGACTATTTTTCTGAATTCTGTCAACTCTAACAAAGATTAGGTGTACATGAGGCTTAATTAAATATCATCAGAAAGAAATTCATTTGCAGCACTTAGACAGTGCTACTCCCATTAGAACCATGACGAGCCTGTCAAACTCAGTCATCTTCAAAACCTAAGGATGACCAGTGGGGCAATGGGAGCTAATCTGAACAATTAGGAAAGAAGGCTCCCAAAACAGATCTAGCTTATCTCCTGCTATAGGTTCCTGAGAGGTTATATGATGCAGCCCTGCAGTTGTTCTGGAAAGATTTACTCTTTTCTTCATAGATGTCTGGAAAGAATCACATTTATGCCTAGCAGATAAATGTAGAATATATATGTGTATGTCTTTGTATATTTATATTTTGCTTTCATTCTTTTCTGGCAGGTTATTGTTTGTGGATAAGAAATGTACTGTTTATTGAATATTTCCTTTTTGCCCTACCACCTACTTCTTGACACTATTCATTTTTACATCATTCTAGCTTTTTTGGATTATACCTAAAGAGTTATGGAAATAATTTTAAGTGAAACATCATGTAATCTACTTAAAGTAAGTGCTTTAAATCATTAGCAATTTTTAGCTCTCCTCCTATGTAGATTAATATTGTTCGGAGAACTGAACATAACTTAAGGGCTTTGCCTCCTTCTCATCTAGCCTCACAAATTATCTTCTTGAAGCATTAACATCTAGAGAACTCAAGGTCAGAAAACCCCCAAATTTTAGCTTCTTTTAAAAATTTATAAATGAACTTACTTCTTTTCTTTTCATTTCAATTTTTATTTTAAATATAGGAAGTACTTGTGTGGGTTTGTTACATGGGTATATTGCATGCAGGTAGAGAACATAGTACCTGATATGGTTTGGCTCTGTGTCCCCACCCAAATCTCATCTTGTGGCTCCCATAATTCCCATGTGTTGGGGGAGGGACCTAGTGGGAGATAATTCAATCATGGGGGTGGGTCTTTCCCATGCTGTTCTAGTGATAGTGAATAAGTCTTATGATATCTGGCAGTTTTAAAAGCAGGAGTTTCCCTGCACAAGCTTTCTCTCTCTTTGCCTGCTGCCATCCATGTAAGATGTGACTTACTCCTCCTTGCCTTCTACCATGATTTTGAGGCCTTCCCAGCCACATGGAACTGTGAGTCCATTAAACCTATTTTTCTTCCCAGTCTTGGGTATGTCTTTATCAGCAGCATGAAAATGGACTGATACTGTACCCAATAGATAGTTTTTAAACCCACCACTCTTTTCTCCTGCCCTCTCTAGTAGTCCACAGTGTCTATTATTCCCATGTTTATGTCCATGGATCCTCAATGTTTAATTTCCACTTATAAGTGAGAACGTGCAGTATTAGGTTTTCTGTTCCTACATCAGCTTGCTTAGGATCACAGCCTCCAGCTTCATCCATGTTGCTGTAAAGGACTTGATTTTATTCTTTTTTATCGCTATATAGTTTTCCATTGTATATATGCATCACATTTTCTTTATCCATTTCGATCATTGATGAGCACCTAGGTTGATTCCATGTCTTTGCTATTGTTAATAGCATGGTGGTGAATATGTGAGTGCACGTGTTTTTTTTTTTTTGGCATAATGATCGTTTTCCTTTCAGTATATACCCAGTAATGGGATTGCTGGGTTGAATAGTAGCTGTTTTTTTGTGAAATCTCAAAACTGCTTTCTACAGTGGCTGAACTAATTTACATTCACACCAACAGTGTACAAGCATTCCCATTTCTCCACAGTCTCTCCAGCATGTGTTTTTTTTTTTTTTTTTTTTTTTGGATAGGGAAAAAAGTTAACAATAATAATTGACCCTTTAATTTAATTTAATTTAATTTTTTTTTTATTTTTTATTTTCATTTTTTGAGATGGAGTCTTGCTCTGTCGCCCAGGCTGGAGTGCAGTGGCGCGATCTCGGCTCACTGCAAGCTCCGCCTCCCGGGTTCACGCCATTCTCCTGCCTCAGCCTCCCAAGTAGCTGGGACTACAGGTGCCCGCCACCACGTCCAGCTAATTTTTTTTTGTATTTTTAGTAGAGATGGGGTTTCACCATGTTAGCCAGGATGGTCTCGATCTTCTGACCTCATTATCCACCCGCCTCTGCCTCCCAAAGTGCTGGGATTACAGGCGTGAGCCACCGCACCGGGCAGCCCTTTAATTTTAAATGATACCTGGTTATTTAAAATTTAACCAAGGTTTAGTTTTCATATTATAATTGCTTTATTATTTTTGTTGATTTTTACTTTTCAATGTACTTTCTGCAAGTTTTCTTAAGGAATCGTGTGTCAGGATAAATTTGTTTGGTCTTTCTAGGTTAGCACTGCTCGTAATAACTCAAGGCTGCAATGTAAAAAAACATTACTTTCTAGAGAGTGGGGCTACTTTGCTTCCAGTAATGAAGTTGAACCTGGGCCGTCACCAGCACACAGTACAAAACTGGAGAACTCTAATCACCAAACATGGATGGCATCCTAGTTAGTAAGTAGCAAACTTCTGTTCTGAAAATAACTATATCACATAATGGATTTGGAAGTAATTGATAGCAATGGGCTTAGGTTGTCACATCTAAAACAGCAAAATTGTGGGACCATTTGGCTTAAAGAGATACAATTGAATACTGATGGTGAATTACAACTAATAGATGGAATGAGTGAAAATAGTACATCTGGTAGATCAGTAAGTAGATTGTAAATAGGAAATGAATGTGTCATAATACCCATGAGAAATCTGTTTCAGTGAGTTAGTAAAAGATTCAGTTACAGAGGTTTGTCAGGAGGGTAAATGGGAAATTTCACCCAAAGTCCCCTAGTCCATTGACAGTTCAGTAAGAAGTAAGTAATGTAACTTTTTCTTCCTGTTGTGTTTTTTCTTTATTTATAGACAGTCCAGATATTTATTCCCATTTTAAAATACGAAAGCTTTAAGACTTTAATACCTAACTAGTAGTAACGTTAGAATTAGTTATTTTTCAACTTTTATTTTAGAATTACAACTAATAGAAGAAAGACTGAAAATAGTACATCTGATAAATTTGTAAGTGGATTGTAAAATGTAGTGGGTACATGTGCAGGTTTGTTACAAACGTACATTGTGTGATGCTGAAGTCTGGAATATGAATGAAACTTGTCATTCACGTAGTGAGCATAGGACCCAGTAGGTAGTTTCTCAATGCTTACCCATTTCCCTCCCTCCCTCCTCTTGTATTCCCCAGTGTGTATTGTTCACATCTTTATCTCTATATGTATCCAATGTTTAGCTCCCACTTATAAACGAGAATATGTGGTACTTGTTTTTCTGCTTCTGCATTATTTCGCTTAGGATAATGGTTTCCAGTGGCATCCATGTTGCCGTAAAGAACATGATTTTGTTCTCTTTGTAATGGTGTAGTATTCCATGGTGTATGTCTACCTCATTTTCTTTATCCAGTCCACTGCTGATGGGGATATGCATTGATTCCATGTATTTGCTATTATGAATAGCACTGCGATGAACATATGGGTGAATGCACCTTTTTGGTAGAATGATTTATTTTCCTTTGGGTATTTACCCAATAATGGGATTGCTGAGTTAAATGGTAGTTCAAGTTTTAGTTCTCTGAGAAATCGCGAAACTGATCTCCACAGTGGCTGAAGTAATTTACATTCCCAACAACAGTGTTTAAGTGTTCCCTTTTCTTCACAATCTCACTAACATCTGTTATTGTTTTTGCCTTTTTAACAAAAGCCATTCTGACTGATGTGAGATGGTATGTCATTGTAGTTTTGATTTGCATTCCTCCCATGAATAAGTGATGTTGAGCATTTTTTCATATATTTGTTGGCTGCTTGTATGTCTTCATTTGAGAAGTGTTTGTGTACTTTGCCCACTTTTTAATGGGGTTTGTTTTTGGCTTGTTCCTCATAGATTCTGAATATTAGACCTTTGTAAGATGCATAGTTTGTGAATATTTTCTGCCATTCTATAAGTTGTCTGCTTATTCCCTTGATAGTTTTTTCTTGCCTTGATGAAGCTCTGTAGTTTAATATGGTTCCACATGTCAATTTTTTTGTTACAATCGCTTTTGAGGAATTAACCATAAACTCTTTGCCAAGTCTGAAATAAAGAAGGATATTTCCTAGGTTTTCTTTAAGGATTTTTACAGTTTGAGGTCTTACATTTAAGTCTTTAATCCATCTTGAGTCAATTTTTGTATATGGTGAAAGGTTGGGGTCCAGTTTCATCTGCATATGGCTAGCTAGCTATCCTCACACTATTTATTGAATAGGGATTCCTTTCTCCATTGCTTATTATTGTTGGCTTTGCCAAACATCAGATGGTTGTAGGTGTGTGGCTTTAGGTCTGGGTTCTCTAATCTGTTTCATTGGTCTGTGTGTCTGTTTTTGTACAAGTGCCATGCTGTTTTGGTTACTGTAGCCTTGTTGTGTAGTTTGAAGTCTGGTAGTATGATGCCTCCAACTTTGCTCTTTTTTATTAGGATTGCTTTGGTTTAATTGGAATCTTTTTTGGTCCATATGAATTTTAGAATAGCTTTTTCTAATTCTGTAAAAACTTGATATCATCCATTTATATTGAGGTAAACATTAGAAGCACATTCTCAAATTCCCTTTAAAATAATAATCACTGTTAATTGTAGATTGATAATGAATTTATTTAAGAAAAATCAGTAATACTATAATATAAATATTGTTTGGCAGGTCATATTTAAATTACCTGTTTCATAATCATTTTATTTGTATATGTCATTTGCCAGGATATTATGATATCTGCTTGTTATAACAGAAAAATACAACGTAAGTTCATTTTTAGAAATTTTAAACTTTTAAAATGTTTTGCATGCATTCTTATTTCGATATTCTTTGGTTAATGATTGATTGTTGATGTTATTAGGAGATTCTGATTTTTAAAATAGGAATTTAACATATATGTAAATGATACTTCATAGCTTTTTGCTGTACTAATATTGCTTTAGAGTTTGCTAACTTTCTATTTCAAATGTACTTTTGTGTATCACTTAACAAAGGGGATATGTTCTAAAAAATGTGTCCTTAGGCAGTTTTGTCACTGTGTGAACATCATAGAATGTACTTACACAAACCTAGATGTTGTAGCCTACCACACACCTAAACCGTATGGTATAGCCTATGGCACCTTGACTACAAACCTGTACAGAGTGTTACTGTACTGGATACTGTAGGCAAATATAACACAATTGTAAGTATATTTGTATCTCAACATAGAAAAGGTATAGTAAAATATAGTATGAAGTTAAAAAATAGTACACATCTATAGGGCACTTACCAGGAATGGAAGTTGTAGGACAGCAGGTGGCTCTGGGTGAGCCGGTAAGTGAGTGGTGAGAGAACGTGAAGACCTAGGACATTACTGTATACTGCTGTAGGCTTTATAAATACTTTACACTGAGGCTACACTAAATGTATTTTAAAATATTCTTCTTTCTTCAGTAATAAATTAACCTTAGCTTACTGTAAATTTCTATTAACTTAATTTTTTAAACTTTTTACTTTTTTCTAATAACCCTTAGCTTAAAACACAAAGTTGTTTTAAGCTTTCTTTATCTCCTTATTCCATAAGCTGTTTTCTTTTTCTTTTTTACTGTTTAAAAGTTGTTGTTAAAAACTAAGATACAGGCTGGGTGTGGTGGCTTATGCCTGTAATCCCAGAACTTTGGGAGGTCGAGGCAGGTGGATCACAAGGTCAAGAGATTGAGACCATCCTGGCCAACATGGTGAAACCCCATCTCTACTAAAAATACAAAAAAAAAAAATTATCTGGGTGTGGTGGTGCACACCTGTAGTCCCAGCTACTCGGGAGGCTGAGGCAGGAGACTCACTTGAACCCAGGAAGCAGAGGTTGCAGAGAGGCAAGATCACGCCACTGCACTCCAGCCTGGTGACAGAGCGAGACTCCATCTCAAAACAAAAACAAAAAAGTAAGATACACAGACACACACATTAACCTAGACCTATCTAGGGTCGGGAACATCAATGTCACTGTCTTCCACCTTCACATTTGCTCCACTAGTTCTTCAGAGGCAGTAACACACATGGTGTCGTCATGTCCCATAATAACAATGCCTTCCTCTGGAATATCTCCTGGAGAAACTGAGGCTGTTTTATAGTTAACTTTGGTTTTAAGAAGTACAAGGAGTACCTTCTAAAATGATAAATAGTATAGAAAATACATATTCCAGTAACAGTCATTTATTATCATTATCAAATATTATATACTATACATAATTTTGTGTGCTATGTTATGACAACACCAAATCGTATGAATTTTTCAGCTATACTATAATCTTATGGAACCACCATTGTATATGCTCAAATAATAAAAGGTATGGTATAGAAAAATTTAATCCCATAACGTACTTGCTTATTGTCATCACATATTATGTATTGTATGTATTATATGTGCTACACTTTTTTTTTTTTTGAGGCAGAGTTTTGCTCTTGTTGCCCAAGCTGGAGTTCGATGGCGCAATCTCGGCTCACCACAACCTCTGCCTCCTGGGTTCAAGCGATTCTCCTGCCTCAGCCTCCCAGGTAGCTGGAATTACAGGCATGCACTACCACGCCCAGCTAATTTTGTATTTTTAGTAGAGACGGGGTTTCTCCATGTTATGTTGGTCAGGCTGGTCTCAAACTCCCAACCTCAGGTGATCCGCCCGTCTCGGCTTCCCAAAATGCTGGGATTACAGGCATGAGCCACCACGCCTAGCCCTGTGCTACACTTTTATATGAATGGTAGCACTGTAGGTTTGTTTACACCAGTATCACCACAAACACGTGAGTAATGTGTCGCACTAGAATTTTAGGACAGCTACTATGTCACCAGGCAATGGGAATTTTTCAGCTCCATTTGAAACTTATGGGACCACCATTGTATATGCAGTCTGTCGTTGACCAAAACATTTTTATACGGGGCGGAACTGTCATTTCACATACTGTCTCCTTTCATATTCATTAAATGTTATGATTATTAAGAAGTATTAAAAATGTCAATACATATTTGTTATGATTGTTAAATTAGAAAATCTATTATATTTCCTGTCTAGTGTGTAATTATTCAGGAGATACTACTTTTTGCCGTTGCTGTTACTACTGCTACTCTTATGTTTATTATTAACACAAAGAACACTTTTACTTACCACTTTTAACAGGATGGTATTCATAGAAATTGTAATGACTAAATAACCTGATAATATCACACAGGAAGATTTTTAAAAATACATTGAACTATTATGATTCAATGAATATTTTTAAATTCAGTGAATCTAGTACAACGAGTAGGTGTTTATAATGTAAAATTTAATTATCTCTCACAATAAACATGCTTCTCCACATCTCGCTTTAAACCAGTTCTAGATGCCCGGTGTTTACAATATAGCTCTATTTTTCATATGCCATTTGTCATCATATAGACAGACCAGTGTGTTCAATTGTATTTCCAGGATGTTGTAGTTTTTTCCGGTTTTTTGTACAGATTGAAATATATTCTGCTGATTGATATTCAATGTGTTCACCCTTTAGATCACTTCTTGCAAATCCATGCCAAAAGAGATCTAAATGCATTTTCATACAGTTGAAGCCTGGAAAACAAAAAGAAGACGTTGGGAAGAGAGCAGATGTGAGCGGCTTCAGTTGACCGCTTTTGATTCTTTTCAATCCAAGATTCAGATTACATATTTTTAAAAATCAATTCATTCTGTTTTTTGAGCACAGTATCTCTTCTATTAATGTACTGTTGGAATGATTGACTTCTATGTAGTTAGCAAAGTTTGATCCCAGCTATTGCCAAAATATGTATTATTCTGTCATCACTCTTGTTGGGTTTCACTATGTTAGTCCCACATTTGGAGGTGAGTTTGAAGTTACAAAAGAAGCAACATTCAGTTTGCATCACCCTGGGCCAAGTGTGCTTCCAGTTAATGAAGTTAGGTCTTATCTCTCTCCTAGGACCCAGACACCACGGGAACTTAACCACGAAAGATGGGCAGTTAGAAAGGATGGTTAGTCTTCACTAACATTCTGGAATTTTTGTGTATGTATGTGAGGAATTTCTGAATGGGAAATCTCTGTAGTTACAGTCACCTTACCATAATGGAAGTTCATGTTGTGATAATGTACTCACTTATGTGCCTGTCACTATTTTTGTTAAAAATTTTTAACGCGTATTTTTCAAATATTTCTAACAACAGTTCTGGGATAGAAAATTAATAACAATTTCATGTAATGAGGAATGTTGTGAGTGATTTTGAACACTACTAGAATTTGATCAAAGGAACTCATAATGACAGGTAAGTGATCATTAAGTCAGTGTTAATGATCAGTATTAATGCTTAATTATGATTTTTATTAACATTAAAAATTATTGTTATACAGATAGAAAACTTTTGGCCGGGCGCCTGTAATCCTAGCACGTTGGGAGGCCCAGGCGGGTGGATGACGAGGTCAGGAGATTGAGACCATCCTGGCTAACACGGTGAAACTCCATCTCTACTAAAAATACAAAAAAATAGCCGGGCATGGTGGTGGGCGCCTGTAGTCCCAGCTACTTGGGAGGCTGAGACAGGAGAATGGCGTGAACCTGGGAGGCAGAGCTTGCAGTGAGCCAAGATGGAGCCACTGCACTCCAGTCTGGGCGACAGAGCGAAATTCCGTCTCAAAAAAAAAAAAAAAGAAAAAAAAGAAAAAAAGAAAACTTTTATTAGATTAAAGTGACTAGTTTAGGACACCAGAGAAAGTAACCATTGTTTTTCTTTTTTTCATATTGGATTTTTAATGATGCATGTACTTTTATTTTTACAGTAATTCGTGAATCTAAGATACACTTAACCCCAGACGAACACATATTTCTGCATTCCCATATCTTTTTCATAATGAATTCCATGGTAACTTAATAATGAAATCTATTTTTTTGGTTTAAACAAACATGTATTCTGTCCCCATAATCGAAGCTAACATGTGCATTTCTGTGTGAGTCTTGAGCCTGTCATTTGGTAAAATACGGTATTAGACTCTGATTTTTATGTATTATCGGTTCATGAATGTGAAAAATTTTCACCTGTCTAGATCAAAAAGCATTTGGTGTTTTATAATACAACACTGTAATTAAAGTGGTATACATTTGGATTAATGATGTAAACTGAGGATGTAAATATTTTTCTACTATATACACGTTTTCCCATATGTCACAACAGTTTGCACTCTTTTCTAACAAAGTCTCTGTGAATTACTTGGACAATAACCCTGGATGTTCAAATTTTGACAATACCATTGAGGATGCAGTGTGGCAAATATTTTTCCTACTTTCTCTAAGGATTTCTTGAATGATATAACTTGTTGATATTTAGATGTTAAAAATAACATTGCTTTGTAAAATTTCCCTGACTGTAACATCTATGTTCTCAGTGTGCATTGGCAATGAGATAATCTGGGCAAAATGAAATCAAAGTCCTTCTTACAAAGTAGACATTTCGCATCTCCTGATTTTGGTACATTTTGTTTTTGTCAAGAAATCCATGTTATGTTCTTCATGAATATCTAGAAAAGATATGATAAGAACTTTCTTAGCCTTTTTTGTTTATGTTGATAATGTTTTTATCTCCATTATTTTTGGTATTACTGGCAGTCAGGTATATAACTAGGTTTTTACTAAATGTGCTGCTGAGGCGAGCATGTGTAACTAGGTTTTCAAACCCAGCTGTGTTCTCTAGGAGTCCTCCTTATATTTTAGACTGTTCTTGTTAGATTATTACACTTACAGTTTTTACGAATTAGAGTTGAATAAAGCCTTATAGCATCAATTACTAACTGATTTAGAATGCAGTGAAAATGGGTTATAGCAGGTAAGTGATCTAATCATGTGATAATCAAATTGTTTTTACTTCTATGTTGCCTTTTAGGTTCCCAAAGTACTATATCTCCTAGATATGTAATCATTCATCAAATGATGGTTATGACCATAACTACTATGATGATGATTAATTTTACAAGTGTTTCTAGGGTGAAGTTTAATTTTCACCTTTTTGGAAATTTTGGGACATTTAAAGGCTAAATGACTTGCTAATATTCCATTCCAAGTGAACTTTTAATAAAGTCATGTTCTAATGAATTTTAATGAAAATTTTCAGTTCTTGGCATATCTAGTAAAATGGGAACAAATTGTTTAAAAACTATTGCTTTTTATAAATGTTATTCCACGTATCTTTCTTAATCTATCTATAACTACCTGGATCTTCACATGAAACAATCTTTGCCATGTGCCACGTAGACCTCAGGCAGCTGTGAGGATTTGAGGTAATAGAGGCAAGCAGTGAGATGGTAACAGTTAGTTCTCAGAAGGACTTTGCTGAGGTTCACATCCTGTGGTTTTGTATGGTAGGTCTGAATGAGAAATAACTGTGTCACTAATGTATGCGTCTTTAGTAAAAATGGATGCTGTGATTACATAAACATTTATGTTTATATTGTCACTTCTTAAGTTTCAAAATTATTTTACACCTCTCCACTTAAAACTAGTAAAAATCATATAATATAAATTAAATAAGTTTATATAATTTTTTGATGATTAAAGAGTTCACAAATTCAGTTCAGACACTCTATCTGAAACGTTAAGAAGCATCAAATTGATGTTAATATTGGTTGTTTTTATTTTATGAATACCACAAATGATTATCATTTAAAAGATGGGAAATATTGGTGAGTGTGGAGTGTAGTGAATTGTTCATGGCCCTTGATAATAATTAGTGATATAGTTTCCATTGTTTGAAAAAAGGAAATGTCTTTAGTAATTTTTTAAAAAATAATAGATATGGTATAATTTCATAGTAAGTAGAGAACCTAGGCAACATAAAGTATAGGCATACCTCAGAGATATTGTGTGTTCAGTTTCAGACCACCACAATGAAGTATATATCACAAGAAAGCAAGTCACACAAATTCTTTGGTTTCCCAGTGCATATAAAACTTAGGTTTACGCTGTACTGTAGTCTATTAAATATGCAATAGCATTATGTCTAAAAAGTACATGTCTAAATTTAATAATTCTGTATTGGTAAAAAAAATGCTAAAGATCATCTAATCCTTCAGTGAGTCATCATCTTTTTACTGGTAGGGGTCTTGCCTCAATATCATTGGCTGTTGTTGGTAGTTGCTGAAGGTTGGGGTGGTTGGGGCAATTTCTGAAGTTGAAGTTTGCTGTATCAATTGATCTTGCCTTTACAAAAGATTTCACTGTAGCATGCAATGCTCTTGGGTAGCATTTTACCCACAATTGAACTTTTTTGCCAATTTGGAGTCAATCCTCTCCAACCCTGCTGTTGCATTTACAACTAAATTTATTTACTATTTTCAATTCTTTGTTGTCATTTCAACACTGTTCACGGCATTTTTACCAGGAGTAGATTTCATCTCAAGAAACCACTTTCTTTGCTCTCTTGTTAAAGTTTTATCATGAGATTGTAGCAATTCAGACACACCTTGAGGCTTCAATATTTCTTGTTCTCTTGCTATCTCCACCAAGTCTGCAATTACTTCCTCCACTGAAGTCTTGAACGCCTCAGATTCATCCCTGAGGGTTGGAATCAACTTCTCCGAAACACCTATTAATTTTGATATTTGACAGCCTCCTATAAATCATGTACATTCTTAAGGGAATCTAGAATGGTGAATCCCTTACAGAAGATTTTTAATTGACTTCGCCTAGATCCATCATAGCAATTACTATTTATGACAGCTATAGCCTTATGAAATGTATTTCTTAAATAATAAGCCTTGAAAATTAAAATCACTCCTTGATTCATGGGCTCCAAAATGGATATTGTGTTAGCAGACAGGAAAACATTTATCTCCTTGTATTTCTCCATCTGAGCTCTTTGGTGACTAGGTGCATTGTCAATGAGCAAAAATACTTTGAAAGGAATCTTTTTGATTTTTAAGCAGTAGATCTCAATAGTGGGTTTAAAGTAGTAAACCATGCTGTAAACAGATGTGCTGTCATCCAGGCTTTGCTGTTCCATTTATAGAGTGCAGGCAGAGAAGATTTAGCATAATTCTCAAGGGCCCTAGGATTTTTAGTATCATAAGTGATCTTTGGCTTCAACTTATAGTCATCAGCTGCATTAGCCCCTAACAAGAGAGTCATCACCCTGTCCTTTAAAGCTTTGAGGCCACGCAGTGTTATTTCCTCTCTAGCTACAAAAATCCTAGATGGCTTGTTCTTCCATTAGAAAGTGGTGTCATCTGGACTGAAAATCTCTTGTTTCATGTAGCCAACTTCATCTATGATCTTAACTAGATCTGGATAACTTGGCTATAGCTTCTATATCAACACTTAGTGCTTCTCCTTACATTTTTGTATGGCAATGGCTTCTTTCCTTAAACCTGACGAACCCACCTTTGCTAGCTTCAAACTTTTCTTCTGCAACTTCCTCACCTCTCTCAGCCTTGATAGAATTGAGGAGAGTCTTGCTTTGGATTAGTTTCTGGCCTAAGAGACTGTTGTGTCTGGTTTTATCTGTCCAGAGCACTCAAACTCTCCATATCAGCTATAAGACTGATTTATTTCCTTCTCCTTTGCATGTTCACTGGAGTAGAATTTTTAATTTCCTTCGAAAACTTTTCCTTGCATCCACAACTTGGCTCACTGTCTGGTGCAAAAGGCCTAGCTTTTGGCCTATCTTGGGTTTTGACATATTTTCCTCACTAATCTTAATCAGTTTTTAATGTATAGATAGGGATGTGTGACTCTTCCATTCACTTGAACACTTAGAAGTCATTGTAGGGTTTTTAAGTGGCCTAATTTCCATAGCTTTTTTTTTTTTTTTTTTTTTTTGGTCTCAGGGAATAAGGAATCCTAAGGAGAGGGAAAAAGAAGGGAAATAGATGATTGGGGGGACAGTCAGGACACACATAACATTTAACAATTGTTTGCTGTCTTATATGGATGGGGTTTGTGGCACCCCCAAAACAATTACAATAGTAACATCCACGATCACTGATCACAGATCAGCATGGCAGATATGATAATAAAAACAATTTCAGTTCTTTAAACAAGGTCTGTGATCCTAATCAGCAGGAAGTATCTAGAATGGTCCTTACCCCTTTTCTCTCAAGATTGAGGAATGGACATAAAAAAGGGAGGGTTTGTAACAACTTTTCTGTAACAAAGTTGTGAGTTCTTTTACAGTTGCTATGGACCCCCACGTTGAAGGTCACATAACTTGAACATGATCAGATGAACTAAGCGTGCAGCCATGGGAGGGACCTAAGTGCTCAGACCAAGAAGTGGGGACTGAATTAGGAAGTGGACACTGCATGGCAGGACCCAGGATACCACCAGGTTGAGCCCTTGTGTCACCCCATGGCAGGATCCCGTCAGATCCTGCCTCCTAGCATCACCTCATTGCAAGAGCCAGTCAGATCACTCCTCATCACCCTCTGCTTATAAAATCCAACCCAACGCCCGTCAAGGAGAAAGATTTGAGGCTTTCCTCTTGTCTCCTTGCCAGTCGACTCGCAAACAGTCTCTTTTGTCAAAAGCCAGAACGAAGGTATTGGCTGCTCTGTAAGACGCTTGTGGAGTGTTCATAAGTGTTTGTTATGAATTACCTCTTTTGAGTTTATCCTAGGTACTGTTTTAGGCCTGTATTTGAAACTGGATTCAATATCATGCAGATTAAAAAAATAAATGGTTTGTTGTAACAGGACCAACATTACTCCCTGGTAAGATCATTGGGATTTGGAATCCACTTAAACCCCAGAAAATTGAGAAGAATCTAGAACCTGAAGAGGACCAATGGAATAGTGGGGTTTAATATTCACTAATAATAGCAACGAGTACAGGATTAACCTCAGAAATTCCAGGACTTCTATGTTTTAAGTAGTGTCGAAATTGGACATTGCTGTGGCATTAAGAATTAGCCTTGACAGCCACAGTGATGAACGCTGTGATACACTACTCAGTGATGTGCTTATGACATTTTATGTAACTCAAGTAGTTTATACATGTTGCTCCACTCAAACTTCACAGCCAATCTGTGCTATCAAATTAATAATGATTTTTATATAATATAGGTGTTTTCTGGATCAAATGAAAAAATCTCCAAATATATATTATATAATCTAATTAAATCAACATTGAGTAAATGTTAATAATTATCTTTATTGCTACTGTATTTATTAATTAAATTGAGCAAATATAATTTACAGAAGGAATTCATTGCTGAGTGTAGAAACGTTTTGCAAGTCACCACAGAAAATTAATGGAACTGTTCTCTTTCTATGAAATGAATTTGTCTTAATTTTTCGTAATAAATGTTTTGCTGTCTAACCATAATTGGGGAACCTAGGAAAATATATTCAATATTCAAATGTATTAATTTATTTCATTCATCTTTCTTAAATGTTAGCTTCCTAGTCTTTTTTTTTTTTTTTGAGACGGAGTTTCACTCATGTCACCCAGGCTGGAGTGCAATGGTGCGATCTCGGCTCACTGCAACCTCTAGCTCCAGGTTCTAGGGATTCTCCTGCCTCAGCCTCCCGAGTAGCTGGGATTACAGGCACCCGCAACCATACTCAGCTAATGTTTGTTTTTTTAGTAGACACAGGGTTTCACCGTATCGGCCACTCTCAAACTTCTGACCTCAGGTGGTCCACCCACCTCGGCCACCCAAAATGCTGGGATTATAGGTGTGAGCCACCACGCCTGGCCCTTAGTCGTTTAAAATTAAGAAAAATACTTATCCAAGCAAACCTATGTTATGTCTAATAAAGGAAACCAAATAGTTTTGTGTCTATATGTGTGAAAACTTTATTTATCCTACCAATTTTTGATTGATTTCTGTTTTGAATACAATCTTATTTTTGCTGTATGATTGTGGCTGGAAAACAGGCAAAATAACTTTGTCATTTTTTGTCTTTTATTCTTGCCTCATTTCCTTAGCTGTCAACCAGTTCTCTTCATTTTTCAGATAATTCCATAAAGATAACAACCTCCCTCTGTATAATGAATTGCAGTATTTAATAAATAGCCTGCATAATCAGAGTTGTTAAGTCACCAAGAGTTACTTCTAATTGTAGAACTCACCTATCACATCATGAGTTTTATGAACTGTCAGCTCAATATGGGTTTTCCAGCCATTTGCTTCATTTAACATGTCATATCAGCCACCAGTTATTTTTGGAAACTGAATTTGTAAGCCATGATTACCTTGTGTTGATTATTATTATGTAACTGTTAAGAATACCATTTAGGAACTCCTGTGGTAGATTCTCCACATATTTTTCTTTGTATAACTTTTTATTCATATCTTTGATCTGCATTAGAAAATAAGCATTAGAAGAATTTTATCATAGTTCTTTTAAAATAATATAAAGAGTGTTAGGTATGGACAGGCAATGAACTAGAAATGAACAATACAGGACTTACTCATTATTAATGTGGATAAAGTCTGAGTTACATAATCCCTTCAATTTCGTGTATATGTGCTTTTGGGGACATTTTCTTATTTCTGCATGGATATCTGTGAATATATGTATATACATGTGTATATTTTTAGGGAATTTTAACTTTTGAACAAGTCTTCACACAATTATTGCTGGTGGTTTGAGGAAGGTTGTCATTCTTTTTAACCTGTCCTTTTTTCTTCCCACTTTAAACTATCTGTTAGTTGTCGCATTTTACATATTTGTGGGTGGGGAATCAGTGTCTATATATTTAGACTGAACTCAATACAGACAGCCTCATTCTGTACCATAATCTGTGATTTGCAAATTTTGAGACGTCACAATTATAATGGATTGGTAGAGCTTTACTGCCAGCCCTTTCAAGATTTTCATCCTCCAACTGCAGCACCGGTAAATTATTACTAATAGAAATGAGAAAGAAAATATACATGCTGATAGCTACATAGGTCGTGAATAGTAAATTAGTATGTCATTTATTTTAGGTATTAAATGTTTCATAGTCATACTATAATTACGTAGCTTCTTTGTTTCTTTGTAGGTCCCAAAAGAGTCTACAAATGTTGTCTCCTTAATCCTTGCAACTTACCTGAGTCATTGATTCAGTAAAACATTCAATGGCACATGTTTGTTGTTAGGGTCAAAAGAGATAATCCATCTAAAGGCCTCATGGACATTGCAAACCATGTAAGTCATCAGTTATGTAGCTACTGCTGCTTTTCCTTCACCTCCTTGTAGTGATACTGGTAGTAGAGTAGTCGTACTAGTAGAGACTATATTACTAGTACTTTGGTAAAAATAAGAGCATGTTCAATAAACACCTTTTATTAGGTCAGACTGGAGGACGTATAGCAGCAAGATGAATTTCTTCTTATTTTCTGTTTTTCTGAGGTTAATGTGGATGGTTTCTGTGAGGTTAACACTGCGTAGCAGTCTTAACTTAATGTTGTTCTATGATCACATGATTATCTGTGATTACTATGCTTATCTGTATATTTCTGGTTTTTTTCCATTTCCAAATGTATGTTCTACACATGTCCTCAATCACCATGACAAATCAAAACATTAGGATACTGTCTCTTTGGTACTGATTTGTCGTGTGTATGAAATGTGGAAATCCATATGAAAATCTGAACTACATATCTGCCAGACATGTAATCATTCAGCAGATTTTCCTGTTAGTACTACTGCAAGCAGTACTAATACTATAACTAATGGTATCAGTCCTAGTAACACTGCTATTACATTAGTACTAAGAAGCATATCATCAGTTATCACTCAAAGGATTTCATTGGTGGTTTTTCATATACATATTGTAATGTGTTCTGCTTTGTTCTGCTTTATTATTCATTTTACATATTTTTCTAGAATACTCTGTGGATATCTATGCCTGCAGAGATAATTTACTTGCAGTGCAAGCATTGAAGCCACTGCAAACACAGGTAAGGGGAAGTCAATGGTTGAAGATGACAGACTCCTGATTTTACTCATCCATGATTGCAAACTATAAAATATTATGTCCTTACCTGATTTCCTTACTTTAATTTGGTATAATTCTTGCACAGAAATGGTGAGTGGGACATTCTCATCTGGTTCCTGATCTCAGGCGTCAAGCATAAGAACGTTAACAATTAAGTCTTAATTTAGCTGTGTTTTTTCATAGATGCCATTCAAGCAATTGAGGATATACTCTGTGCTATGCCTGATTTGCTGTTATTATGTTTCAGATATGGATGTTAGATTTAGTCACATATCTCCCTGCATCTAGTGAGATGGTCTCTTTTTTCCATTTTAATCTGTTAATGTTGAAAATTGCCAGGCTTTGCCTGGGTTCCCATTCTCTGCACTGGAGTCGATATTCTCTCTCTGAGAAGTTGGCAGGAGAATGGATGGACTGTTCTAATGTGTCCCCTCTCTCACAGATCACTCTACAGTGTCTGAAGGCAAGCTTTTCTGTATATATCTGGGTTTTATGTTGTTTTAGACACCAGATAAATTTGGTCACTGTTCCTCCATCTGATCTGGAAACTGTAGTCTCCACTTACCAAATGGTAGGAGCCTGGAAATCCCTAGACATGTAGAGGCTTATGTACAAGAAGCTCATAATTTTTACATATTATCTATTCCTTACCACCTTACCTCTGATATGGCTCATTATTTTTGAGACCATTCCAGTTGTATGATTACAAGACTAGGATTTTAAAATAGTTTTCAGTAAAGCATTGCACCACCTAATTCATCTGGTAAGGGGTTTAAGTCCTTAGCAATCCTGAAGTCTCCTCTTGGAAGGGTTTGTATTTTCCAAGAACTGAGTATGCGGTTGGGCACTTCTACAAATCCATCTTTCTTTTTTGATAAAATTCTTATTTTTCTAATATTGATTGATGGCTAATGCTGACAGTTTGTGGAGGTATTTAGTGTAGTATCTCTTTGTTTTCTCCCAACCTTACTAATCTAGTGTTTTGGGTTTTTTTGGTTTTTTTTTTTTTTTGAGATGGAGTCTCGCTCTACCACCCAGGCTGGAGTGCAGTAGCCCATCTCTGCTCACTGCAAGCTCCGCCTCATGGGTTCACACCATTCTCCCACCACAGCCTCCTGTGTAGCTGGGACTACAGGCACCCGCCACCACGCCGGGCTAATTTTTTGTATTTTTTTTAGTAGAGACGGGGTTTCATCGTGTTAGCCAGGATGGTCTTGATCTCCTGACCTTGTGATCCGCCCACCTCAGCCTCCCAAAGTGCTGGGATTACAGGCGTGAGCCACCGCGCCTGGCCAAATCTAGTGGTTTTAATGTTTTAATCAATCTAGATAGACAGTGATATCTCCATTTTTAATGCATTGCTGTATTAAAGAAATTCTCATTCCACATCATCACAGTCAGTATGTCCCAAGCGAGGCACTTAGGAGAACTCTGCCTTCCCATCATAAATCTGAAAGTACCTGCTGCCAGCTGTTCCTGTATTGCTCTCTCATGCATCAGAATTATCAAGATCTCGGGACCATTTGGTGTAAAGAAAGACAGTTAATAGCGCTGGTGAATTATACGTGATAGAACTACCCACATACTTATAGATGGTTAAGTAGGTTGTAAATAGGAAATTTCATAGGTAATTTTTCTTCTCTAGATGTGCCTTTTATGTTGCCATAAGCATAATATCTCCTGTGTTATATTTGAGGATCCAAGCGTATCTTCACATGTTTTTTCATTAATCTTCATGACAAATCCGTGTCAGTATGTAAAAGATTGTGAGGACATATGAGAAGATTCACATAAAATTCCCAAGTACATTGATGTGGTGTAAGTGAGCATTTCAGAAATATAAATTATTGTTGTTGCTCTTGTCCTTTTATTTGTATTTACCTTTATTTTTTCACATAACTTATGAAATAAGGCAATGAAATATAAGGAGATACATAGTAGTCTCTGACTCCATGCCAACTGGTGTATTCAGTGCTTGTTCTTGCGTGGTAAACAGCTTATCATCATCTGTGTGAGATAAACATCCTAAGGCCAATGCAAGAAATAAATACTGGCACAACTGGGTCAAAATAGGCATCATTTTTCAGAAGTTTGCTCTCACAGCTTTTCTAGACCACTAAGGGTCCCAGATATTGGGCATATTTCTTCTCTGCTGCTCCTATCAACAATTACGTTTGTTTTGGTGAATAAAGGATATGAAACTTTGCTACCTTTGTGTCACGCTTTGTAGCAGAATAATAGATGAATGATCACGTAGGTATTGGTAATTTCATGGTTGGGAGTGAGTGCAAGGTTCCAATCATGGCCAGGAGAACTGGATTGGGGTCAGGTATCTCCCCACATATTGTCTTACAACCTCCCTCTGATTCAGATTATTTCAGGGAAAATCAGAGCACAAAAGGCCTGTAGGAAAATTCAAAAGTTATGAGTTAAAAGTGTAGTTTCCTCTCAAAGGATGGATGAAGAAAATAAGTTTCTGTCTTTCACATCTCTAATGTACTTTAGCTTCACTTAGGAATTTTTGCAATTCTTGTCATTTTTATTCTATGTATTTGGAATGAAGGAATATATGGAGAAAAGAAGGATGTGGTGGGTGTATTGGAGGGTTTTTTGTGTAAACTTTAGGGAGATCAAACCACATGAAATGCTATATATATAAAAAACTTCCATTTTTAGAAGTTTGAGAAGATAAAGATACTTCTTAAGAAAAGGAAACATGTCCAAGCTTATTCTCTCCTGCTCCTGTCAATCATCTAGGTAAACATGGAGAAGATTAGTGGGTCTCCACTTAAGGAGGGATGCAGTTTGGAGAGCAGTGGGATGAGCATTCTCTAGGACTTATGAATCAAATTGTTCAGGCATCATGTTCTATTGAGGGGAATGATAAAACCTGCAGGGGACAATGGTGGGGCACAGGGCAGCGCTTCCGCAATCAGCCATGCTGTGTGCAATGCCCTACTCAGAAAGGTGCCATTTATGTAGATTTTATGTCACTGGCTCCTTTCTGGGTAGAGCAAGGCTCACCATGTATATATTTGTGGTGGCCTTTGTACCCGTGTTGGAGTAGAGCTGCAAAAGCCTCAAGCTGCCTTCCCTGATAACAGGAGAACCTAGCTGGCCATGTGGACCTCAGGCATCCTCAAGATGATTTCAGTGGTGCATTCCTACCAATGTGAACACCTACAGGTTAAAGAAGAGAAAGATGAGATGAAGATCGTTCCTAATAGAGTAATAGAAAACGGTAACAAGCTTGTTCTCACCTGGTCCTGGCAATCACTGGGTAAACATAGAGCAAGTGAGAGGGTTCTCACTGAGTCAGGCATGACAGTTGGTGGGCAGTGGGCTGGACATTCTCTAGGACTTAATAATAAGTAAGTTCCAGATTCAGGCATCCTGCTGTGTTGAAGGGAGTGATAAAAGATGCAGGGGACAATGGTGGGGGATGGGGCGGCACCTTCACAATCAGCCATGCTGTGGGCAGTGCCTTACTCAGAAAGGTGCCAGTCACTTACACTACATGTCACTGTGTCCTTTCTGCGTAGAGTAAGGCTCACTAAGTACAAGTTTGTGGTGGCCTTCGGACAGGTAATAGGGTGGAGCTGCAGGAGTTGTCTTTAATAATGCCGGGAGATCCTAGCTGGCCACCTGAACCTCAGGCATCCTTAAGACGTGAACACCTGTAGAGAAGAGAGGGATAGAAGACGTGAAGTTACTTCCTAATAGAAGAACAGAAAATGGAACAAGATGGCCGGGCGCGGTGGCTCACGCCTGTAATCCCAGCACTTTGGGAGGCCGAGGCGGGCAGATCACGAGGTCAGGAGATCGAGACCATCCCAGCTAAAATGGTGAAACCCCGTCTCTACTAAAAATACAAAAAATTAGCCGGGCGTAGTGGCGGGCGCCTGTAGTCCCAGCTACTTGGGAGGCTGAGGCAGGAGAATGGCGTGAACCCGGGAGGCGGAGCTTGCAGTGAGCCGAGATCCCGCCACTGCACTCCAGCCTGGGCGACAGAGCGAGACTCCGTCTCAAAAAAAAAAAAAAAAAAAAAAAAAAATAGAAAATGGAACAAGTTTGTTCTCTCCTGCTCCTGGGTGTGATCTGGGCAAACACCGAGCAGGTGAGAGTACTTTTACTGAGTGAGATACGCAAATTGGAGGGCAGTGAGCTGGAAATTCTCTAGGAGTGATGAATAAATGAGATCAGGGTTCAGGCATTCTGTTGCGTTTAGGAGAGTGATGAAAGCTGCTGGGAGCAACCATGCGAGACTGGGCAGCACCTCCGTATTCAGCCATAATGTATGCAGTGCCTTTTCTAGAACAGTTCCAGTCACTTGGATTATATGTAACTGGTTCCTTTCTGGGTGGAGTAATATCACCAAACACAACTTTTGGCTGGCCTTTGGACTCCTGATGCAGTGGAGCGTCAGGGGCCTTTCAACTGCCTTCTCGAATGCCAGAAGATCCTAGTTGGTCACGTGGACCTCAGGCATCCTCAAGATGATTTCGATGGTGCACACCAAACAATATGAGCACTTATGTGTTAAGGAAGCAAAAGATAAAAGATCAATATATGTTTTGTAGAAGAGGAGAAATCTGGAAAAAGTGTGTTCACTACTGGTCTTGGTAATTATCTGGCTAAACAAAGCAGATGAGAGGGTACTCACTGAAGGAAGCATGCAAGTTGAAGGGCAATGAGCTGGGTATTCTTTGGGACTTATGAATAAGTTAAGTTCGGGGTTCAGGCGCCATGCTGTGTTGAGGGGAGTGGTGAAAGCTGTAGGGTATAACTGTGCAAGATAGGGCAGTACCTCCACAATCAGCCATGCTGTGTGCAGTGCCCTGCCCAGAAATGTGTCAGTCGCCCAGATTATATGTCACTAGTTCCTTTCCAGGTAGAGTAAGGCACACCAAGTATAAGTTTGTAGTGGCCTTTGGACCCATGATAGTGTAGAGTTGCAAGAGCCTTCAGGTACCTTCCCTGAGACCAGCAGATCTTAGTTGGCCATGTGGACCTCAGGCATCCTCAAGATAAGTTAAGTGGCTTGTCCCTAACAACATGAGCACCTACAGGTTATAGATCAGAAAGGCAAGATGAAGATAATTCCTACTAGAAAAATAGAAAATGGGAACAATCTTGCTCTCTTCTGGTCCTGGCAATCATCCAGATAAACATAGAGTAGGTGAGAGATTCCTCACTTAGGGAGGCATATACCTTGGAGGGCAGTGGGCTAGACATGATCCAGGACTGATGAATAAATAAGTTCAGGGTTCAGACATCATGCTGTGCTCAGAGGAGTGATGGAAGCTACAGGTGGAGAACACGCAAGATGCGACAGCACCTCCACAATTAGCCATGTTGTGGGCAGTGCTCTACTCAAAAAGCTGTCAGTCACTTAGATTACATGTGACTGACACCTCTTTGGGTGAAGGAAGGCTCACCAAGTACACTTTTGTGGTGGTCCTCAGACTGGTGAGGGGGTAGACCTGCAAGCAACTTGAGCTGCCTTCATTGATCCCAGGAGAACCTTGGAAACCACCTGGAATTCAGGCATCGTCAAGATGATCATTTCTAACAACGTGAGCACCTACAAATTAGAGAAGGCAATGACAGAAAAGATAGTTACTTCCTAAAAGGAGAAAACAGGAACAATCTTTTCTTGTCTTGGCCATCATCCAGGTGAACATAAATCAGATAAGAAGGTCGTCACTGAGGCAGGCATGCCAAGTTGGAGGGCAGTGGGCTGGAAATTCTCTAGGAATTAAGATTAAGTTCAGGGTTCAGGCATCCTGCTGTGTTGAGTGGGGTGATGAAAGCTGCAGTGCACGATGGTGGATGATGGGGCAGCACCTCTACAATCAGACATGCTGTGGGAAGTGCCCTACTTGGAAAGGCATCAGTTGCTTAGATTACATGTAACTATTCCCTTTCTGAGTAGAGTAAGTCTTACCAAGTACAAGTTCATGGTGACCTTCGGACAGGTGATGCAGTGGAGTTGCTGGAGGCTTTAGTTGTCTTCAGTAAGGCCGGGAGATCCTAGCTGGCCACCTGAACCTTAGGTGTTCTCAAGGTGATTTCAATGATGCATTTCTAACAATGGAAATACCTATTTTTCAGAGAATAGAAAGATAGAAGAAATGAAGATACTTCCTAATAGAAGAACAGAAAACGAGCTTGTTCTCTCATGGTCCTGGCAACCATCTGGGCAAATATGGAGCAGTGAGCATGTCTCATTGAGTGAGACATGCGTCATGGAGGGCAGCAGACTGGACATTCTCCTGGACGGGGGTTGACCTTGCAAGATGGGCCAGCACCTCCGCTATCAGACATGCTGTGTGCAGTGTCCTACTTAGAAATGTGCCAGTTTCCTAGATTATACATCACTGGTTTCTTCCTTGGTAGTGTAAGGCTCAACAAGTATAAGTTTGTAGTGGCCTTTGGACCCATGATAGGGTGGAGTTTCAAGAGCCTTGAGGTACCTTTCCTGATACCAGGAGACCTTAGTTGGCCATGTGGACCTCAGGCATCGTCGAGATATTCTAAATCGTCTGTCCCTAACAACATGAACACATGCAGGTTATAGATGAGAAAGACAAGATGAAGATAATTCCTACTAGAAAAATAGAATGAGAACAATCTTGCTTTCTCCTGGTCTTGGCGATCACCCAGGTAAACATAGAGCAGGTGAGGGGTTCCTCATTTAGGGAGGCATGTACATTGGAGGGCAGTGGGTTAGACATGATCCAGGACTGTTGAATAAATAAATTCAGGGTTCAGGCATCATGCTGTGCTCAGGAGTGATGGAAGCTACAGGGGGAGAACATGCAAGATGGGACAGCACCCCCACAATTAGCCATGTTGTGGGCAGTGCCCTACTCCAAAAGGGGTCAGTCACTTAGATTAGATGTTTCCAGCTCCTTTCTGGGTAGAGCAAGATTCTCCAGGTACAATTTTGTGATGGCGTTCAGATTGGTGAGGAGACAGACCTGCAAGCACCTTCAACTGCCTTCATTGATCCCAGGAGAGATTTGGAAGCCACCTGGAACTCAGGGATCCTCAAGATGATTTTAATGATCCATTTCTAACAATGTGAGCACCTACAGGTTAGATAAGGTAATAATAGAAGAGATAAAGATACTTCCTAAAAGAAGAAGAGAGAACGGGAACAAGATTTTTTTTCTTCTCGTCTTGGCCATCATCCAGGGAAACATAAATCAAGTGAGAAGGTCTTCATTGAGGCAGGCATGCCAAGTTGGAGGGCAGTGGGCTGGAACTTCTCTAGGACTTAATAAATGTGTTCAGGGCTCAGGCAGCCTGCTGTGTTGAGGGGAGTGATGAAACCTGCAGTGCGTGATGGTGGGTGATGGGGCAGCACCTCCACTATCAGTCGTGCTGTGGGCAGTGCCCTATTCAGAAAGGTGCCAGTCACTTAGATTACATGTCACTGTTTCCTTTCTGAGTGGAGTAGGGCTTACCAAGTACAAGTGTGTGGTGGTCTTCAGACAGGCGATGAGTTGGAGTTGCTGGAGCCCTAAGTTGTCTTCAATGATGCCAGGAGATCCTAGCTGGCCACCTGAACCTCAGACATCCTCTAGATGATTTCAGTGGTTCATTCCTAATAATGAGAATACCTATATGATAGAGAAGAGAAGGATAGAAGACGTGAAGATACTTCCTAATAGAAGAACAGAAAAACAAGCTTGTTCTCTCGTGGTCCTGGCAACCATCTGGGTAAACATGAAGCCAAGTGAGAGTGCTCTTGCTGAGGGAAACATACATGATGGAGGGCAGTGGGCTGGACATTCTCTAGGATGGGGATTCACATTGCACGATGGAGTAGCCCCTCCCCATTCGTCCATAATATGTTCCAGAAAGGTGCCAGTCACTTAGATTATATGTAACTAGTTCCTCTCTGAGTGGACTAAGGCTTACCAAGTACAAGCATATAGTTGCCTGTAGACCCCTGATGTGGAGTTCCAAGGGCCTTGAGCTGCCTTCCCTGATGCCAGGAGATCCTATTTGGCCACATGGACCTCAGGCATCCTCAAGATAATTCTACTGGTGCATTCCTAATGATGTAGACTCCATCATGTTAAAGAAGAAAGTGATAGAAGAGATGAAGATACTTCCTAGTTGAAGAATAGAAAACGGGAACAAGCTTGTTTTCTCCTGGTCTGGGCAATCATCCAGGTAAACATAGAGCAGGTGAGAGGGCACTGAGGGAGACATGCAAGTTGGGGGCTTGTGGGCTGGGCATTATTTTGAACTGATGAATAAATAAGTTCAGGATTCAGGCATCATACCGTGCTCAGAGGAGTGATGAAAGCTGCAGGGTATGAAAATGCAAGATGGGGCAGCACTTCCCCTTTCGACCATGCTGTGTTCAGGGCTATTCCCAGAAAGGTGTCTGATATGGTTTGGCTGTGTCCCCACCCAAATCTCACCTTGAATCATAGTTCCCATAATCCCCATGTGTCATGGGAGGGACCCAGTGGGAGGTAATTGAATCATGGGGGCGGTTACTCCCATGCTGCTGATCTCATGATAGTGAGTTCTCACAAGATCTGATGGTTTTATAAGGGGCTTTCACCCGCTTTGCTCAACACTTCTCATTCCTGCCGCCATGTAAAGAAGGACGTGTTTGCTTCCCCTTCTACCGTAATTGCAAGTTTCCTGAGGTTTCCCCAGCCATGCTGAACTGTGAGTCAATTAAACCTCTTTTTTCAATAGAAATTACCCAGTCTTTGGTATGTCTTTATTAGCAGCATGACAATTGACTAATAGAGTGCCAGTAACTTAGATTACATGTAATTGGTTTTTTCTCTGGGTGGAATAAGAGTCACGAAGTACAAGTTTGTGGTGGCCCTCAGACTGGTGAGGGTATAGAGTTACAGGCACCTTGAGATGTCCTCATTGATCTCAGGAGATCCTTGGTGGTTAGCTAGAACTCAGTCATCCTCAAAATAAGTTTCATGGTCGTTTGCTACAATGTGAACACCTACGGGATACAGAAGATAAAGATATTTCCCAAAAGAAGAAGCGAAATCAGGAACAAACTTGTTCTCTCCTGGTCCTGGAAATCATCCAGATAAACATAGAGCAAGTGAGAGGGTCCTCAGTGAGGCATACATGCAAGTTGGAGGGTAGTGGGCTTGGGCATTCTCTAGGACTAATGAATAAATAAGTTCAGGGTTCAGGCATCATGCTATGCTCGGAGGAGTGATGAAAGCTACAGGGAGAGAACATGCAAGATGGGGCAGCATCTCCACAATTAGCCATGCTGTGGGAAGTTCCCTACTCAGAAATGTGCCAGTCACTTAGATTACATGTCACTGGGTCCTTTCTGGGTAGAGTAAGTACAAGTTTGTGATGGCCTTCAGACTGGTGATGGAAGTGGAACTGTAATCACTCTTGAATTGCCTTTCTTAGACCCAGCAGAGTCCTGAGAGCCATCTGGACCTAAGGT